>NC_000020.11:7187547-7339062 GCF_000001405.40 Homo sapiens
AAAGCACTATTCATGTTTCAGTTAATCAAGAGAACATCTCTTGGATTTACCTGTCAAAGAACATTTCCTCTTTATTCTTGAAGACAGAACTCTAGTTTTCTTTTGTAAACGCTATCCCTGCTCTACTCTCATTAGATGTGGCTTGGGTATGGCTATTGCACCAAACCCTGCATCCCTTCAATGATGAATGAGGATAGGATCTATCGCAGACTGTTGGTGCTCTGCCCATATCTCTTCAAATACCCCTTCCATTTCCATGTGTAAAATTTTAGCCTCCATCAGCTAGCAAAAGCATGCTTGCTGGACATCTGCCTTCATGTTGACGAAACCTTCTTTTCTCATGCACAAGGCAGGTGGAAAGTGACTGGGGGATGGGGAATCCGTCTGGAGGTAGGCCTTACCTAATATCTGATGGGTATAGCAATGTAAGTACCCCGAATCTCTCACTTCTTGGCAAGGGTAATTATTAGGTATTGGTTTAGCCAGAGGCTATTACTGCAAAGTTAAACTATAATATTTCACTGGTATCTGATTTAACAGTACTGCTTAAATCGGCTGACTTCCCTGTCACCCACCTGTGTTCCTTGCAATTTCCAATAAACTGTTTTCACTGGAATCCTTAGCTCAAGGTCTACTTCTGGGGAAACCTGAACCAAAATAAAAACCAAAATCTGGCACATCAGATTATTCCATCTTCTGGCTTCAGTGACTAATTATGGAGACCTAGGCCTTTCCCTGGAATAATTAAATAAGAGGTACTTTCTTTCTGTTGGGATTCCTTAGTATATGAAATGTAAGCTGGTACTTTTCCTTATCTTTTCCACTACACAAGAAGAGCCTTCTGTGAGAACAAAGCAAACCCTCAAGAAAATCATTTCAAGGAATAGAGAAGGAGATTTTCTTGATGAATTCAGCCATACATGAAACTCTGATTTACCTCAAGCCTCTTCAATTATGTGAGTCCACTTCTTTTCTCACCATTTTGAAAGCCAGATTGAGTGAAGCTTCTGTTTCTTGAAGCTGAAAGAAGTAGGACTAAATTTAGATAAAAGCTAGAAGATTTGATCTTGGCCTCTTCTCAATGCAGTACTGGCCAGCAAGGTGGGGGCTTAGTACCACAGTTTCTCAATTTATGATGCATATGGTGGTTAGCTGTTGGCTCAAAATGGAAGTTGTGGACTATGGTGTCTGAATACTGAGGAATTTACTTTTTCTGTTTTTACCAAATAAGTTTAGAGAGGCCACACTTCAAATTTCACTGGAATAGAGGGGAAAATGTCTTATTTCATCACCTTTCTTCTCATGTGAAAATTTTTAGAGGAGATGGGCAAATGGTCTTTGAGGGCAAAGAATTATGGAATTATGTAGTGAAGAAATTTGTTCACATGAGGTAACGGATTGTCTTAAATTTTGCTGTGTAAATTGCAGGCTGCATTTTTTGTTTTAATTAAGCAATGCCAGAAATGGTTTCGTGGCATTTTCCTTCCAGGATTGGGAACCTACACACATCAGCTTTGCACATGAGAACCAGAAATTAAAACTGACCACAGCTAATGGGAACCTGCTCAGGCTCACTTTATAGGCTCACTGAGAGAAGTGCAAAGAGAAAACAGGCTAAGTGAAGAAGGAAAAACACAAGGCTTCCCTTTCAATAAGTTTTAATAATGTATAATCCCCCAGAGAGTAACATATGAACAGAATTATAAATTCTCTGTTGGTTACTTTTCTACCATTTAGGACTTGTTAAGTACCCAAAGGGAATTGTTGGCCCTTTATATTTTTAATTCAACTTCAGTGTCTTCAATTAGAGCATGCTGTCAGAATAAGTAGTCCTCTTCAAATACATGGTTGAGAATGACTAATGCTAAATCTTGAGGCATTCCTATCCCAGTGAAGATTTAAGGGCTGAATATTCCCGAGGGACTCTTTGTTGGCAAGGTGGCCTCTTCTGGAATGATCTGTCAAGTGTGCACAATCTGACTATCATGTGCATGAAGTAAGATGTGAACAAATGGACATCCAGGAGATAATTGTCACGGTTGTTAGCCTTTTTAAATGATCTCTGGAGATATCTTCTGCTTCCACCATCAAGTCTTTTGTTTGGGGTTTTACCTCATTTTCAGGCTTAGCTTTGAAGATATTGTAAGATAGTTGTTTGAAGGCATACAGCACTCCCTAGTTATATGTATTCCAGCACACTCAGGACGGGCACTAAATATGAAGAGAAAATTTTATTAACAACTATAGTGACCCAATAGCAAAAAAGGGCAAAAGAATGTATTCTTTTTAGTCTGATCTCTGGAGCCTGCTCTTGTCTTTGGAAATTAAGAATTTCACTCAGGGGACTGGTGGCCACCTGCAGTTGTGTGTGTTTATTTTTTTAAAGCCTTCCTGTTTACTCAAATGGCTCTCCTGCATTGGATTTCTCTCAATTGCATGTTGTGGGCCCTGTCCTAGGTTTTTTACTCCCCCTCTTTTTCTGTAACTGAACCTTCCTAAAGACGAGCTCCTTAGAAAAGGTGAGGTTCCCAAAGCCAAGGTAAGAAGTTAAGGAGTGGTTTGTAATTCAGTTGCAAATCTGTAGAACAGAAAGATGCTCTTTTCTGTTATCCACTGATATATAACAAACCACCCCCAAACTTGATGCATTAAAACAAGAAATTATTACTTATCAAGATTATGTAGATTATGGGGTGGTTCTTCTGTTGGTTTCACAGGAGATCACTCAAGTGGCTGTATTTATCTGGTGAGTTAGTTAAAATTGAAGGTTCTACCATGGCATCATCCTTCACAGTAATAAAAGAAAAATGCAGATGGCAAATACAGGCAGTCTCTGTTAGCTCTTTTCCTTGAAGTATTAGCAGATGTGAGCCTGGGAGAGATAACTCAAGTATATCTGTCTTACTCTGATTTTGGGAATAGAGGGATCTCCTGGCTGAGGCATCAGGTCAACTGAAGAATATTTACATTGTTGGAGGTGTTGTAAAATACAGCCTCATTCTAAACATTTAGCAATGGTGAGGCCCCACAAAGGAAAAAAATAGTTGGCTGGAACAAGATGGCTTGATTTTTTATGGTGGAGCAGAAAGAGGAGTAGGATAGTAAATGAAAGAGTTAACAATTGCCTTTCAAAATACCCCAAATCCCCTGATTTGTAGTATTTGTTGATTTCCATTCTACAAACACTTCTACTGTGGCTAATGTCAAGCTTCCATTCAAGTTAAGAAGGCACGTGCACAATTAACTCTTGAAATCCTATGCAAGCTTTCCCTAGCACACCAGTTGATCAAGAAGAATGAACAAATAAAAAAATTAAAACAATATCAAGACATGGAAAAGAGAAGTTCTCTGGGTTCTAAAACACAATGGTGAAATGTGAGTATAGGGATGGGAGATGGAACAGAATCATTGGTGAAATCCTCTGCTACCTACATAGGAATGCCTCAAGTGTTCTTAAAATGCATGCACAGACCAAAATGCACCAAAAAGAAAAAAAAATAAGAAAGAACAAAAGGACAATACAATAGAGAGGAAAGTAAAATTTAAAGTGTTCAGTTTGGGCTCAAAGTCATTACTAAAACATGAAGTAGACAAATCAGTCACTAGGTTTGATTGCCTATCTAGGAGATTTGACCTGAGATGAGTATGGGATATAAAATGAGCACCACATTGAAGGATGTCTGAGATTGAAAGAATGGAAAAAGCCTGATGAAGGACCCAGGAATGTGAACACAGCTCTGGCTCTCTTATTAGTCCAACTCTGTGGCCTTGAACATTTGGCCTATACTTTTTTTTTCTTTTCTCTATAAATCTTTGCTGAGTAAATGTATCCCAATGCAACAATAATCACTTCCAGAGAGAGAGGGAGGAAGAGAGAGAATTGTGTGAAGACAGCCATGTCCTAACTAACCATGTAATAGTACAAAATCTAGAGTGTACAACTTAAGGGAAGAGGTAGGTGGCTCTTGTTTATCTCAAAAGAATGGGGAAAGAGAATACACACCCAGCAGAAACATCTTTGTCATGGGAAGATATTGGTTCTAGCAGAGCACATGAAGTTCTTCGCTGCCAGATAGTGTGTGATATCACCAGGTAAACCAGAACAAGGCAGGAAGTGATGGCCTCAAATTGGTCCTGGGTCAGGGGACTGTGAGTTGGCCATGATGTCCTGAACAAGCAGAGCTGTTCCTCCTAAGGGAAATATCAGTAGAGGTGCTGAGTGAAGTTCACCCAACCCTTACCCAGCTTCCTACACTGAAGTTTCCTCATTATTCTTTGTAAAGTATTTTTATTAAGTACAGATTACTAATATATTTCTATTAAGTACATACACTTTTCTTCTGTGAAATGCTACCCTAAAACAGTTCATTAAGCAACAAAGAGGGATCCCGTCTTACATTCTAGAATTATGTCCTATGAAATTACCCCAAATTGATTCATTGACATAGTTGAATATTGGCAGAATCATATGGTTTGGCTGAATTTTATCAAAAATCAATTAGCTAAAAATCTATTAAAATATTTATATATATATCAGTCAGTCTGTTCAGTACATACATTCCATTTGTAGAATATGTTCTGAATTAGTCTTTGCCACCTGTGAATTACAGTAAACTTCCTTGTTGATCTCCCGTTATTTATTCCTCTGGACCCATGACTCACTGTCTTCTCTTTCATTTAAGACTTTGAGTCCAGGAGATTGACACCGGCCTGGCTACATGATGAGACCTCATCTCCACAACATTTTTTTTTTTTAGTTAGCCAGACATGGTGGCATGCACCTGTGGTCCCAGCTATTCTGAGGGTTGAGGTAAAATGATCGCTCAAATCTGGGAGGTTGAGGCTGCCGTCAGCTGTGTTTGCACTACTGTACTCCATCCTGAAAGACAGAGTGAGACCCTGTCTGAAAAAAAAAGAAAAAAAAGGACTTTGGCTTTGCCATGTTAGTAAAGGCAATGACAGAAATGCTGGCCCTGGCCTGGCAGGTCTGCCTTCAGTGACTCAAATGGCTGCCTAATGATATTAGCAAAATCCATTTATTCATGCAACAAATATATATGCCTCTATTTCTTCAGCATATGCTTTTATGGCTACCTTTGTAGTTCCTATGAACCACTGATTCCATGGTGTTTTGGTTTACTGCTTGACCCATTGGATAAAGAAACAGCTGTATGTGTATATAAAGCCAGTCAACTCTGAAGAATGCTCATTCTTCTGATCTTTCCAAAGACCTGTAAGAAGAGTGGAGTATGTCTATTTATCCACCTACTGCCTCTGACAAGGAAGGGAGGGAAGTCCTGGGAGATTTCAGTTTCAATTCTAGACTACTGGAATGTGTTTTAAAGGATATCATTTGGAAAGCAATTTAAAAAAGACTTAGTTATCCTTTGCCATGTGCTACCTCGCATCAAAATCAAATGGTTTGTTCGATCAGTGACCTGACGAGTACTGGATAGGGAGACGGTCACAACCAACTCAGTTAAGTTTTTAGTCTGAGGCCTTTCCTAATACAGATAATTAGCCCACACTTCTATTGAGAGATTTCTCCATTTCCAGTCTAGACAAGGAACAAGCCAAGTCTAAGCCTCATCCCTTCTCTTACCTTGAGGTATATTTTGACTGCCTATGGTTTTGATATTTGAGTTCTATCTGTATGTCCTGCTGATAATTGACTCTAGGAAAATAAGCACATTTACAGCTATCTTGGGAACTTAGCTGTTTATCTGTATCTGCATATGCCCACAACTGCATTCCACATGACCCTGACCCTGCCACTCTATATGTAGAGTAACATACAGAAAGTGATTACATTTAAGGTGCCTGGCTGCAAGGCCAGGATTGGGAGGAGTCTATTTTGAGTGGAAGACTTTACTTTGGCAAATTGTGCCAAACTATGATACTTTTCTGCCTAGGAAGACTTCTGGCTCACCCACTGAGGAGTTTGCATGTCATTCCAGCACATGGTCTACTGTGGGACTTACTGAGTAGTAGCAAAATAACTATATCTAATTATGTTAAGATCATGAGTGTGATCTTATGTTGAGACTGGAATCCTTTGAAAGCACAAACTGTCTTCAAGCCCCCATCCAAATCTAAAGGGAAGTTATCCATAAAACTTGCAATGTAACATTGTTTAGCAGACACTCATCTATCTCCTTTGAAACCAAAGCTTTATAGGTGCCCTGATTGTTGTAACAGTCTGAGTGTTTGATGTTTACAAGAAATGAATTTCTAGGAACTCAGAAAAGCGAGGAAGAGAAAAGAGCATTGCCAAGTCAAATTCAGCTCATCCTTGCTGCTTCTGATGCCATTTTGCCCACGTAAATCCTCACAGTGTTCCAGCCCCTGATGAGTCACATCTTCCGTCATCTTCAGATCAGGAGATAATCATCTATGTCAAAGATATTTTGATTTGGTCTTCCTCAAGCTCATTTTCTGAGATGTCCTACCCCAGCTACATTGCAAAGATTGAGATGAAGTGTGAATAGAGCCAGAACTGGAGGAACTCAACGCCATGGCTTTGCAGGTTTGGCTTCAATCAAGTACTCAGAGCTTTGATTAAAGATATTACTAAGGAATCAGGCCAGGTGCAGTGGCTCACGCTTGTAATCCCAACACTTTGGGAGGTCGAGGCGGGTGGATCACGAGGTCAGGAGTTCAAGACCAAACTGACCAACATGGTGAAACCCCATCTCTACTAAAAATACAAAAATTAGCCAGGCGTGGTGTTGGGCGCCTGTAATCCCAGCTACTCGGGAGGCTGAGGCAGGAGAATCGCTTGATCCCAGGAGGTGGAGGCTGCAGTGAGCCGTGATTGTGCCACTACACTCCTGCCTGGGTGACAGAGCAAGGCTGTGACTCAAAAAAAAAAGGAAAACAAAATAAAACAAAGCAAAAGTAAACTTCTTTTTCTCTCTTAGCCTTTTCTAAATGTAGGTTAATCAATACTCAAGTTGAATGTGAAGTGGCTTTAATTTTTTTTCCACAAATATTCAATAACACATACATATTTACACCAATTTAAATTTGTTTCTGAATATTGAGCGCCATTCTGTTATAATAATAATAATAATTATTATTATTATTATTGTTGTTATAATAATAATTATTATTATTGTTATAATAATAATAATAATAATTATTATTATTATTATTAGAGATGGAGTCTCCCTCTGTCACCCAGGCTGGAGTTCAGGGGCACAATCTTTCCTCACTGCAGCCTCTGCCTCCAGAGTTCAAGTGTTTCTCCTGTGTCAACCTCCAGAGTAGCTGGGATTACAGGCACATGTCACCATGCCCAGCTAAGGTTTTTTGTATTTTTAGTAGTAGAGACAGGGTTTCACCATGTTGGCCAGGCTAGTTTCGAACTCCTAACCTCAGGCAATCCACTCGCCTTTGCCTCCCAAAGTGCTGGGATTACAAACGTGAGCCACCATGCTCCACCCTGTTAATTTCTTTTTTAATAGTAGAGCCAGCTTTTCAAGCAAGGGGAGCTTCTTTTATTTAAAATAACCTTTTGTTGCCATATTTAAATTGATTTGGTTAATTTCCAGGAATATAATTGTTCTGGGGTAATAAGATTTCTTTTTTTGAGAGAGGGCCTCGACCTCCCCTGGCTCAAGTGATCCTCCCACCTCAGCCTCCCAAAGTGCTGGAATTACAGTCATGAGCCATGTGCCTGGACAATGGGATGATAAGATTTAAAATTGCCTACCTCACTATGACATTAGAGAGGTCATCTACATCCCAATCCTAAATAAGCAGGAATAAGAAAGCCTGAAGTCCCAGCTACTCGGGAGGCTGAGGCAGGAGAATCAATTGAACCCAGGAGGCAAAAGTTGCATTGAGCCAAGATGGTGCCACTGAACTCCAGCCTGGATGACAGAGCAAGACTCTGTCTCAATTGAAAAAAAAAAAAATTATCAAGCATGAGTAGCTAGAAATGGGCTTACCTTTGACAACCAGCTATCCTCCCCTTCAAATACTGGACACTTTCCCACTCTCCATTCTACAGAGGGAATGCGCTCTTTAGCCTAATTAAATGTTCTAGGATAAGCCTCTAAAGGGAGCATAGGACCAATTAAATGAGCAGGACCAAGCCCTTTGGGCATTTCTCCCTTTAAGTTATAATTCTGATAGGGTAAGTCTGTGAGGAACATTAACAATGCCATTCAAGGCTCAGCAGTCTTTCATTTAGAAGGTCCTGTGATTCCTCTCCATTGGGAAAGGGTGAGGTGAGGTCTTGTTTGAAGTAGTGCCCATAGCAGGGGGAGGAAATGACTCAGTGGCCTCGGCCACACAACTGTAAAACTCTTCTTGCAAGAGGAACCGTGCTTGAACTTGGCAGCCTAAGCAAAGTCTCAGCATGATTCAAGCTTAGAGTCAATCTAGCTTTTACTGGCTGAAATAATAATACCCCATGGGGCTCCTCCAAGCTACAGCTGAGGAATGGATATGGAGATAGTGAAACTCTTTCTGAGACGCATGTGGAAACTGGGACCACGGGGTGAATGGGGCCTGATTGTGACATAGCGTTGGGAAGGCAGGAATTTCAATATTTACGCTAAACTCGCTTTCTAACTGTGGGCAGAACACATCTCTGCTTTATTTTTTTAATCTTTTGAGATAAATATGAAATTTAAATAAAATTTATTTAAGGTGAATTTTTATTTTCTTTTATAACATGATCACTTTTTTAATATTGGGAAAGTTTTGATTCTCCTCTATTAGCATGTGACTATTTGCCAGAAATAGAGTGCCTTTAAAATCAATAAATATACTTGGGAAAAAAATAATAAAAGATATCTAAATTTTACTGAACAATAGGTCAGAAGCCCCATTTTTATTAATAAAGCACAGCACAATTGTAAGCTTAAATTATTTGCAGTGTCTCTACTTATGAAGCAAAGATCTTTGAGGATTTACTACGTGTTGAGCCCATTGCAAAGGTTGAGCGTACAGGAGCAGATATGACATTGTCTTTGCTATCAAGGAGCTGGCTGTCTTGTGAGGGGGCAGACAAAGTCATTGTAAGTGCTTTTGTTTTGTTTTGTTTTATTGTGGTAAGAACACTTAACTTGAAATGTATCCTCTTAACCCAGTCTTAAGTGTATGACACATATTGACTCTAGGTACAATGTTGTACAGCAGATCTTAGAGCTGATTCAACTTGCTTAACTGAAACCTTATGCCTGTTGATTAGTAACTCCCCATTTCTCCCTCCTCCTAATCCCTGGCAATCACCATTCTACTCTCTGCTTCTAAGAACTTGACTATTTAGGATACCTCATATAAATGAAATGAAAGCATATTTGTCTTTCTGTGATTGCCTTTTCACTTAGCATAATGTCCTCAAGGCTCATCCATGTTGTCACATATTACAGAATTTCCTCCTCTTTCAAGGTTGAATAAGTATTCCATGGCATGTCTATACCACAGTTTCTTTTTCCATTCATGTGTTGATGGACAGTTAGGTTGTTTCCACATCTTGGCTATTGTGAATGGTACTGCAATGAACATGAGAGTGCTGATATCCCTTCAGGATTCTGATTTCAATTCTTTTGGGAAAATACCGAGAAGTGACATTGCTGAATCATATGGTGTTATAAAAGAGGTTTTTCTTAGTGTCCTACTGGAACAGAAACAAGTAAAATGTAACGGGCTCAGTCAAAGTGCTAGGGATAACTGGGTCAGATGACAAACCCAGAACCATGTAGCAGGAGGTAAAAGGAGAAGATTGAGTAGAAGTGATGGGGAACAGAGATGATAAGACACGTGGTGCACCAGGATAACTGAGAACACAGCACCTTGGATGAAACTCAAGTGGTCCAATTTGCCTGCAGCAAAAGATGCTGGTGGAGCAAAAAATGAGATTGGAGAGGTAGGGTGGGGTCCTTTTCCTTTTATAAACCCAAAATCCTGCAGACAATTTTTGTCACGGAACATCATAAAAGGAAGTATTAAGTAGATAAGAAGTTACTGGCTTCTTTCATGACAACAAAGCCATTTAAGTGATTAAACTGGAGTTCCAAAGTTTTCTGCCCATCAGATCATTGCATAAATTTAATGTTTTTATTTTTAGCATTACTAATAAAAATCTAGTAGAGAAAAAAAAAAATAAAAAGACAAACCCAGAACCATGTAGCAGGAGGTAAATGGTAAAATCAAGTCAGATCACACAGAGAACTCTGAGGCTACAGACTTCTTGTTTTTACCTCACTTTATTAAAATTATGCATGAAACATTTATGGCCATTTTTATTTCATGTTATAATGTTATAATCCAGATATCATGTTATTTCCATGAATAAGAAAAGGAAGTTTTCATTTGACCCATTTTACATTAGGGAGTTAAAATAAGGGAAATGATCAGGTCAAAAGTTTCACTCCTGGAATTAAAATTGTGTCAAGACCCAATAAAGTTGTGTCTTGTTTCATTCCTAGTTCACCAATTTATGCAACCGGTAAATTTTCTCTCCCAATAATCTAAAATTGAGTAAGATCTGGTATACCATGTAATTCTTTTTTTCTCATCTATTTTTTAATCTTTTGTTATCCTTCATTTTATTCTGTGTCCTATATCTCCTGAAGTTTCAAAAAGACAAAAATAAGTATGAAAAGGTAGTGCAGTGCTATGTATTTTATCGTTTATGTAATTAGACATTCACATTATACCTTTGAAGAGTGATTGATAAGATCATCCCTATTTCTTTCATTACTACTCATAATGATTCAGTGCTATGGTTTTAATTTCTCCAGCACTTTTATTCTAAGGAACAGAAGCACAAAAGGGGCTTTGCTACTCTGAGTCATAGGTGTATAAAAAATAAAGTTTGTGGAGAAAAGAAAGACCTCTATAAAGAAATGAAGAACCTTGCTAATCAGTGGTGAGACTGTGACTAAGACCATTTCTTTAAGAGTTTGGGTTTACAGATAGGGGAGGAGCATGGTGGATGCGGGACAGAGATAGGACATGGGATTTGAAACTGAAAGACATCATTTTGGCCAGGTGGCTTACACCTGTAATCCTAGCACTTTGGGAGGCTGAGGTGGGAGTATCACTACAGCCCAGGAGTTCAAGACCAGCCTGGGCAACATAGTAAGACCCTGTCTCTACATTTTTTTTTTTAATTAGCTGGGCATAGTAGCATATGCCTGTAGACCCAGCAACTTAGGAGGCTGAACTGGGAGGATTGCTTGAGCCTGGGAGTTCAAGGAAGCAGTAAGCTGAGATCATGCTACTGCACTCCAGCCTGGGCAACACAGTGAGACTCTGTCTCAAAAAAAAAGAAAGAAAGGAAAAAACAAGATGTCATTTCAAATCTAATTTAGCCATTTACTGATTGTTGGCTATATATAAGATAAGATTATAGTCTTTTTCTAGGACTATACGATTACTTGTAAGTATTAGTTATAATACATGCATATATATGTATAGTCTGACATGTAGTAGAGGTCACTAAACAGTAGCTACTCATTAAGCTCTACTCAAGACTGCAGCCTGGGATCACAAAGTAAGAATATAGCAAAGCTGAGATTCAGCTTTGTCTTTTCATGCACCTTCTGTGTATGGAAAAGTTTAGTCATTTGAGTTAAAAAACAGAGCAATGTTGCTGGTTGAATATTATTGGTGAGAGTGAGCTTCCTAGGTGCATGTCTAGGCTCAAGGATGCAACACAAAACAAAATATCCAAGTGATAAACTTATAAACTGGGGCATTTGAGACGTGTGATTGTTTTCTGCTATACTATATGATTTTACCTGGCAGCATTTTCTAAAGATTAAGTCATGTTTTATAATTACACTGTTTCCTCTTTCCCAATTAGTGACCATTCCTTCCTGCTCTTCCAGTAGTTCCTTCTATCTTTTGCATTTCTTCATGGTAGAAATGTAATAAGGAACCATTTGGTTTTCAACATTCTTCTTTATGCTGGACTAATCCCAGTTCATACTCACTTGAATACGAAAGCAAAACATTTGAAACAAAGTAAAATTATGAACATAAAACCATAAAATTCAATTGCTTTCATAAAATAATTCATTTTCAATTTATTCCTTCTAAGATGCTAGGTGTGCACTGAGTGGGGCACTTTTGCATGATTTCATGAGGATTAAGGTAGATGTTTTTGAGAACATGCATTTTAATTGCTCTGAGGACTTCTTTACTCTCCATTTATTATATTCTCTGGAAATCAATTTTTTATTTCAGAATAAAATAAGGTTTATTAGATATAGCTTTTAAAACTGCGAGGGGAACTGTCAGTGCAAAAGAAAAACTTCAAAGTTACCTATTAACTAGTCAAATTATCAGCTCAAATATACTATCTGTCTAAGAGTGAAAGTACCTATGAAATTGAGAATCCATAGAATTTTAGAGGAATCACTAAACACATGCATTTGAACTATAGACCTTTATAAAAGAGAAAGCTGGAGTTCAGATTAATAATTAAATGATTATGTGATCTATTGGTGTTGACACATGTTTCCATTCTAGGAGATGGAGGGGGACCAAGGCCAAGCGTAATGAATCTGTTCCAGCCACTGCTCTCCATTAAACATGTACTGGCTGTCTTGTTGACATATCCTAGAGACCAGAGAAGTGTCTACAAATGTCACTGTGGTACTTAACAATATCTGAAAGTGTTATTCTCTCATGATATTTCTACTACTGCACAATAATTAGTAGAAAAAGAATTGCACGGTTTAAAATTTTTGTGTAATTACTAATGCAGTTTAGGTATATATATAAACATTATATATAAATGTAATAATACAGTTTATATATACTAGTACAGTTTATATATATTCTAATACAGTTTATTATGTAACTGTATTTGTGTGTATATATATACATAAATTATATACTATATTTGTATATATACACACCCACACTACATAGTATGTATATATATACACACGCACTATATATATTTTTATACACAATGTCCAGCAATGTAGCCAGGTATTGCTGGCCTTTGGGTCCTACAAAGTCTTAATCTCAGCCTACCAGGACACTGGCAAAACCCCTAGGCTTTTTTTGGTGGGGGTTGGGGCTGGAGGATGGTGGAAGAGGGGAGGATCCTAAGGAAATGTCTGACCGCTATCTAACTTCTGTCTCCCACATCTAATGTTGATTATTTTCATGGCTCAAAACTAATACATAAGATAAGTTCAGAGGATTTGTATTTTTAACTATTGAAATGTCGGGGTAAGGAATTTAATGCTTTTTTTTTCTATGCTGTCACTACAATGGGAGGAGTGGTCTAAATATGTTGGCTTTACATAAGTTAAATGTTGAACACACAAGTCAATGATTGTTATAACATTGAGAAAAGATTTATTTTGAATATGCGGAACTAATTGCATTAGCAGAAAAAGACAGAATCTGCTCACATGATATTTCAGAGAATAACATTAAAACAAGGTCGATTTTTTTTAGTCAAACTGAGCCATTATACTTCTATGATAACCCTCTAATACTTTATTGTGTTTATATGTTTACGAGCATATTTTCCTAACCATCAGGTGCTTCTCTTATGTTCCATTCACCTTTATATCTTTTCCATCTAGCATAGAGGCTACTGTGTCGAATGTGTTTAATAAATAAATGGGTGTCAACAAAGGAAGTGATAGGTCAATGGATTGAGCAAACATAATGGGGGCTTTGAAAAAAGTTGGAGAATTTGGCATGATGTGGATGAATTGAAAATATGTGCTAAGTGGAACATGCATAAAGGCATAAAAGTTAAGTATGTCAGGGCATGTTAAAATCATTATGTTAGATTGAGTATCAGCACTACATTTCTAAATATTTGCCATAGTTTGATTCTAAAATATGTTCAAAAGCTTCCCTTTTTTACCCTGAGGATAGTGTGAGGTTTTTCTCTATCAGTCTACCATCAAGGTTGTAATTAAGTCATTCAGTCTGTGGCCTATATTTATGATTACAATATGTGATCAAGGATTACAAACACTAGGAAAACTGTATTGTCACACTGTCTAATTATTGTGTTAAGGAATGACAGCAGACAAACATTTCATCTCTTACTAGAAAGAAGAAATCTGACAGAACCTGGGAGTTCACTTTGATGTTGGATTCGTATATGAAAGTATCAAAGATTGAATTATTTTCAAACCGAACATCCAATGTTGGTTTCATCCAAGCAGTCAGTTTTCTGCTCTACCACCACATTTTTCTTTGAAGTAGCATAGCCTAGAGTTTATTAGGATCTATTTACTGCAGGTAGGACAATGAAATTCAGGAAGGTAAAAGAAAAGTCAGAAGAAAATGCAACAGCGGGTTTATAAGTTGATTTCTGAAATGTGTAAGGTGCTAACAGACACAGACACTTACTGTGAAAGACCTAGAGGGACCAATGGTACATAAAATGTGGCCCTCAGACCAGTAGCATCAGTGGCCATTGGAAATGCAAACTCTCAGGCTTCACTCCAGACCTACTGAATCAGAAATTCTGAGGCTGAGGTTCAGTAATCTATTTTTTCTTTTCTTTTCTTTTTCTTTTTTTTGAGACTGAGTCTTGCTCTGTCACCCAGGCTGGAGGGCAGTGGCGTGATCTCGGCCCACTGCAACATCCGCCTCCCAGGTTCAAGCAATTCTCCTGCCACCATGCTGGGCTAATTTTTGTATTTTTTTTAGTAGAGACGGGGTTTCACCATGCTGGCCAGCCTTGTCTCAAACTCCTGATCTTGTGATCTGCCTGCCTTGGCCTCCCAAAGTGCTGGGATTACAGGCGTGAGCCACCATGCCCAGCCAGTAATCTATGTTTTAACAGGTCCTTCGGGTTGTACTAATGCCCAGTAAAGTTTAAGAAACACCGACCTAAACAATGCACAAAATGGATCTCATGCATCCTTTTTTCAATTTCCTAATTTTATTGGCTCTAGGTCTGGAATGACTTCTTTTACAGTTATTCAAGTTATCTGTAAACTCACTTCTCCAAACAATTTGTCATTTACATATATTCTTGATTATGCTGCTCTCTAATTGCTTTATATATGTTAATTGTGTCTCCCTAAAAGTCTGTAAATGCCGCCACAAGTTAGTGTATCTTATAGAATTATATATTCCTGGCTGCAGAAACAGGAAAGGACAAAGAATAAACTCAAGTATTTGTTGGTTAATTGGCAATGCTAAGTAGCATCCATAATGGGCTCCATAAATGATTAGAGAAGAAGATAAGCCTATAGTGACAATTATTTTTATCCTGTATTTCATCAATAGTGACAAAGTCCCCAGTGTATCTTGTTACTCAAGTTACAGTCAGAAAAATGAAAAAGAAATGTACGATGGGAGAAACATCCATAAAGATTTATTCTCTGGGGCACAGACCATGTATAGCTCATCTGTGCATCTACATTACATGGAACTGAGTCTGGGAGAAAAAGGTGCCCCATGTTCAGGACTTGGGTATTGAAATCCAGGTGACAAAGAGGAGGCAAATATTGAAGGAAGAGAGAAAGACATACAAAATGATAAAATCAAAGGGTGTGTGATTTTTTTTTAAAAAAACTTAGGTATTGAAGGCTGATAGAAAAAATGATATAACTTTAGTGTTGTTATGAATTTCAATAAGTTGATGTGTGGTGGTTGTTAAAAGACATTAGAGTCAGCAAATTTGAATTTAAATCAAATCCTAGTGCCTTATCAGGAAGCTGCTAAATCTCTTTGTAACTCAGTTTACTTATTTTAAAAGTGGGAATATTAATATTTATCTTATAAGATAATCTTGAAATTTCAATAAAGCAGCTAAAGCTTCTGTCAGAGTGAGTATAGCAGATATCTAATCAATAAAATTTGTTATTTTTTACATTTCTTGGTTTATATACACACATAAATATATACATATAGGTATATATGTGTGTGTGTATATATATTTATATATATATAGACAGAGAGAGAGAGAGAGAGAGATTTATTATAAAGTTTGCACAGATGGAAAGTCTAGAAATCCTGGAGAGTTGCAGTTTTGGCTCAAGTCTGAAGGCAGTCTGGCAGTCTGCAGGCCAGTTTTCTTCTGCCTCCAAAGGATCTCTTTCTTTTGCTCATGAGGCCTTCAAATGATTGGGTAAGGCCCACTCATTGCAGAAGGTAGTTTGCCTGATTCAGGTTCTAATTATTTAAATGTTAATCACATTCAAGGAAATGCTTTCACAGCAACATCTAGATTGGTGTTTGACCAAACACCTGGGCACCATAGCTTAGTCAGGTTGACATGTAAAATTAACCGTCACATGGGGTGAATTCCTAGACTGCTCCCTGCTATTAGATTATGCCATTAAGATTTCCATACTTGTGTGAACTGATGACATGTCACCCATTTTCCTTGCCATAAAACATATTAGAAAGCAAAGCTTAACTGATGGTATACGAGTTGACAACAGAGAAACAAAACTTGAATCCTAGACAGATCTGCTACAATGTTGTAGATCTTTAAGAAGGTCTTAAGTGAAGAAGGTTTGAGAGCATCTGGGTCCTCCATTGTTTTCCCTCCATGCCTCAGTGACTCTAGAAGCCATGAGTTGAGATGGCAATGCCAAACAATGGTGGGGCTCCCACACTTGTTATCAATGAAGCATGATGGGATGGTGAGAGGTGAGGCTAGTCTGTACTCCATTTCCTCCTTTTCCTTCCCCTGGTGTCAGAAACTGCCAGCCAGAAGCTAAGCTTATCCCACCTTCCAACAAGTGAGCATGAATGAGCCTTCCACTTCTCCCTTCCCCAGGATCAGCAAGGCCCAGGAGGAAAGTAAAATACCCCAGAACCCCCACTTGTGGTCAGTAAAGAAAGCCTGTGCCTCACTTTTCCTGGCATGGTTTTGACAAGGCCCAGTGGGAAATAAAGCTCTCAACATGGAAATCCAGGTTTCCTTCAATCTAATTCAATTATTTTCTTTTTTCCCCAGTGATTCTCAAAGGACAATCCTTAGCTGGGCAGCATCACAATCACTTGGGAACCTGTTTAGAAACTCAACTTCCTAGGCTTCACTCCAACCCACACCACCCTCTTGGTCCTCAGAGTACATTGCAATAGGTGTGCTCTCTGCTTAAAAAGAGAATTAAATAGCATCCAGAGTCTTATAGTATCCAAAATGTTTAGGATACAATAGAAAATCACTCATTCTACCAAGAACCAGGAAAACCACAACTAGAATGAGATCAAATAATGAATAGAGATGCTTTAGAGGTTGGAATTTCCTGACAAATACTTTAAAGCAACCATCATAAAAGTATTTTAACAAGCAATTACAAATTCTCTTGAAGCAAATATGAAATTAGAAAAATCTCAGCAAAGAAAAAAGTTATAAATAGAGTAACCAAATATAATTTTAGAATTGATATATAAAATAATTGCAATAAAAACCCACTGTAGGTTTTCAACTGTAGAGTGAAGTAGACAGAGGGTAGAATCAGTAAACTTGAGGACAGATCAACAGAATTTAGCCAAACTGAACAACAGAAAATAGCCTACACAGAAAATAGCCTAGAAAACAATGAACAAAATTTCAAGGGCTTTTATGGGACAAAAACAAAAGCATTAGCATCTGTATTATCAGAGTGACAGAACAAAAAGAGTGAGACTAGAAAGGAATTTAAAGAAATGATGTCTGAAAACTTCACAAATTTGTGAAAGACAAAAGCTTACAGATTCAAGAGTCTGAGGGAACCCTAAATAGGATAAACCCAAAGAAGTCACAGCCAGAATACATCATAATTGAAACCTCTGAAAACTAAAGACAAAAAAAATCCCAAAAGCAGCCAGAGAACAACAGCACATTATTTATAGGGAAACAGCAATCAAATAACAATCAAATAATAGGTAATTTCTAATTCAATATCATGGACACAGGAAAGGCATAGCATATTAGTCAAGTATTGAAAGAACCTGTCTACTATAAATTCTATATCCATTGTAAATATCCTTTAGGAATAAAAGAGAAAGAAAGATATTCTCTGATGAAGAAAAGCAAAGAAGATTAGTTCCTAGCAAACTGACTTTTTTGTTTGTTTGTTTGAATGGAGTTTCCCTCTGTCACCCACGCTAGAGTGCAATGGTGCGATCTTGGCTCACTGCAACCTCCACCTCTCGGGTTCAAGTGATTCTTCTGCCTCAGCCTCCCAAGTAGCTGGGATTACAGGTGCCCACCACCACGCCCAGTTAATTTTTGTATTTTTAGTAGAGATGGGGTTTCACCATGTTGGCCAGGCTGGTCTCGAACTCCTGACCTCAGGTGATCCACCTGCCTTGGCCTCCCAAAGTGCTGGGATTACAGGCATAAGCCACCATGGCTGGCCACAAACTGACTCTTAAAGAATGGTTACAATAATTTTTCTAAACAGAGTGTGTGTTAGTTTGCTATAGACTGGCTAGCTAGTCTTTAAGCATGTCTTGATTTCTTAGTCTTACAGCTAGACCACATTTCCTGAATTACTTATTCTTAATGTGGTTCTGTGACTGAGTTCAAGCCAATGGAATATGATCTTCTCTTCTTTGAAGACGTTCTATAAAAATCTTCTATGTGTGATTTCCTAAAGTTATTTCATTTTTCATTGGCAGGAGTTGAAGATGTTGGAAGAATAAGATAAAAAGTACTTGAGTCCCTGAAACACCACTTGGAGCAAAGCTGTCCATTAATCAGGATGAACTGTTTGGGAAATATAAATACATTTCCACTTGAGACCAACCATTATACATTGTTAGAAATTTGCTATTTTTTTTGTTACAGCAGTTGGCATATCCTTGACAAGTAGAATAAAACAACTCTTTAAGGTGTGGGAAGAGTTACATAAGAATATCTATGCTAGTTTATCATTAAGTGTTTAGGCCTTTATCTGTTATAGGTGCAGATAATCTTCAAAGAATCACAAAAATATCTTCTTGTTTTATGTTTTAGTAGGAAAGACTAACATAAAACTGTTTTTCTCCTAAGACATAACTAATTAACCTCACTGAAAACAATTTTTAAGCAGAAGAAAAAGTTGTGTTCAAATTTAAGGGATGAGTGATTTTATTTTCAGGGAAGCTAGATAAGAATTTTCTGTTGAGTGAAGGGGTTTGAAGTCATTGAGCTTCTGTATTACAGTAGAATGGAATAGCAGGAAGGGAAAGAGAAGCCCAGGATTTGTTTACTTAGGTTGTACTTCTGGATAGTCTTGACTTTAGTGGAAGTGGTTGGGGTAATTCTTTAATGGGAAATATGAAAAGTACAGGTTGCAAAGATAGAGAGTTCACGAGAATAAAAGAGGGGGAGGAGAAAGGAGAAAGTTCATGAGTTTGGCAAACTGTATGTATCTCAAAAAATTAATGCTGCACGATAAATAAAATTTGTGGCTGTGTACTTTTACATACATAAATTAGAGGTAAAATCTCTAGAGTTTTAGATTAATACAAGATCCACTTTTTTGTATCTGTTTGATATTTTTGGAAGAGTCTTAAGATCCTTTTTTAAAAAAATACAGCTATACACAGATGTATTTGTGTATGTGTTGCATATCTATTCGTTTGAGAGATTAAGAAAAAGAAAAGCAGAAAGAGAAAAAGAGAGAGAGAGAGACATTATTAGTTTACCTTTCCATTCTTCCATTTTAACCGGAGCTCTAGGAATGTAAGAATTGAAGGGCAACAGAGGAACTATTTTATGAGCATCCACAAAGAACTTTTAACCATTTTATGAAGTTAGTGATTCCTAATTTCTCCGTAGTAAACCAAGAGATCAACAGTAATGCTGGAAAATATTTTCCCTAACCTTGAATGCATTTATTAAACCATTGCTTGTGTCAAGTTTCCTTGAGATTTTAAATGGAACTCTGCCAAGATATGCCACAACGAGCAAAAAGAATGTGCTTCCCTTCAGGACCTGTGTAGTGAATCTGAGAAGAAGTTTCTGTGAGCTCTTGAGAAGAATCATTTTGTATCAACAGGGGGAAATCCGCAGAGCTTCTGTTTTAAGACATTGTGTTCAATAGTTAAGTATTTCTTTCAAGCCTTACCATGCTGCTCTCATGTAGGCGTCCCCGTTCTCTTGGAAGGCAGTGTGTTGCACAGACAATATGCAGAAGCCACATCAAAGATGATGGTGATCATGGCCAGGGGCATTTCAGATTATGTGAATGAATAAAAGCTGCTTTTCAAAACGCAAGCCTTTTTCCCCATCTGTTGATGTACTGCCACAGATTGTGAATAGCAACACTTTGTTTCCTGTTGCTGAAATTGTGAGATTCTGGTTGGGCATAAGAAGTGGGAAGTCAGGATTGTGTGTATGAAAAGAATCACTTGGCACCTTGCTTCTTGACCAGTTCTCTTCAAATTAGAGACTTCATTTCTGAGAAGTCTCTCACTATTCAGAAGTAATGTCTTGCTTTGGGGTTTGAACCAAGTTCCATAATAATTTAATTTGTCATAAAATCAAGAAACTTGTTGGAAAAAGTGTGGGTGGTCATCATGAAATGAGGCATAGCAGTGGCCAAATATGACAGCAGAGAAAAGCCTAGGGCCTCATAACTAAATAAAGGGAGAAAATTGTTCTTAAGGTACAAATGAATCATCTTTAGGCCATGTAAAAACTAAATTCATCCCCTGAATACCTTGAGACTCTCCATAGACAATCTAGACCATGGGAACAGAGGATTTCATTGATCCCATTGCTGTTTCAACTTCCTAAAGACCTTTGACATTTCTTGAACCCTTAAGAAAAAGATTTAGTGACGTAGCAATTAATATTAAGTCAGGCCTTGGCATTTATGCCATGGTTTGAATATGTCCCCCAAACTTCATGTGTTTACAACTAAAAATGTCGTTATAACAATATTAAGAAGTGGGTCATTTAAGAGGTGATTTGTCCACGAGAGTTCTGCCCTCATGAACGGATTAATTCTCTTATTGCAGGAGTAGGTTAGCTATTGCAGGACTTTGGCCCTCATTTTGTCTCCCTGTCTCTTGTGTTCACTCTGCCTTCTGACATGAGATGATGCTACCAGATGCCAGCACCATGCTCTTGAACTTCCCAGCCTTCAGAACCGTGAGCCAAACAAACTTCTGTTCTTTGTAAATTATATAGTTTGTGGCATTTTGTTAAAATAGCAGAAAACCAACTAACACAATATGGAATGTCCACCTTCTTTGAGGTAATGACTTTGTCATTCAGTCATAGCAATCAATTTTATGATAGTTTTGTCATACTCCCCACTACCATTTTTAGTTTATAAAGAAACCAAAACTGGAAAAGTTTGGGTTACCTCCTAATGTAGCTACACTAATATTGTTAAAGTGGAACTTCAATACCCATCTTAGGAGTCCAAAGCCTCATGTTCCTTTCTCCCATACTGTGAAGCTTCTCTTATTAGGTGCTGAAGCATTTCATTACTAGGCAGACCCTAGTAATGGCTCAACAATGTGGTCACTTCTCAAAAGATTAAAAACAAATACGAATAAATTTTATAGAAGTCTTTTTTGACCTTTAAGCTCTATTAAAACCATAACTCTTTAAAAGTTATTTTTAATGGATCTAATGTCAAAATAATCTGTTATACATTAGGACAAGAAAGTAGGGGAGTGGGCATATTCTGTCATCTCTATAATGATAGTAATAATAATAACAATAATAGTTAAGATAATTGAGTATGAACTATATGTCAGTTATGGTCCTAGGCATTTCATATAGATGCCTCACTTTAGTAGCCATATCATTTTTTTGAAATTATTAATCCATTTTATAGATGAGCAACCAGAAACACAAGGTAAATAACTTACAAATAATTTAAGACACGCCAACTCTCTTAATCACTGTGCAGTTCTGTCTCCTGTCTATTCTTATCATTCTTTCTTTTATCAATTATTGGCTGACTAGGTATCATGTGCCAAGCTCTTGATCCAGAGGCACTGTTCAGTAGAAATATAATGCAAGTTGCATATGTCATTTCAAACTTTCTAGTAGTCACATTACAAGTAAAAGAGAAAGAGCAGAAAATAATTTTAACAATTAGTTAACCCAATATGTTCAAACTATCATCATTTCAATATATGTGATATTTTACCTCCTTTTTTTCTTACTAAGTCTTTAAAATTTGGTTATATGCTTTATACTTATAACATATCCTAATTCAAGCTAGGCACATTTCAAGTGCTCAATTGCTATATGTTTTTAGTGGATATCTTATCAGGCAGCACAGGGCTAGAAACTTGGAATACAGCACTGAGAAACAAAAACATGTCCTTGCCATTGTGAAATGTAAGTCCAAAATCATACTGAGGGGTCCTGTCTGATGTGCTGTGGGAACAGCTGAGAGGCCAGGATGACTGGAGTAATCTAAGAAAGGGGTGTACTGAGGTTAGAGAGGAAAAGAGGGTCAGGCAAGGTGGGCCCTTAAGAGTCACTAGAAAAACTGAATTTTACTGAGTGCTATAGGCAATCTTTGGAGAGTTTTAAATAGAGGAATGACAAAACATGACTTAAATAGGATTTCTCTGGGTGCTATATTGAGATAGGTTGTGGTTGGGGATTAGGGGAGAGGAGAAGTCAGGAGGCCTGTTAAGGGATAGCTGTAGTGCTCCAAGTGAGGGATGGTAATAGTTTGGAACATGGTGATAACAGTGGAAGTGGTTAGATTTGGTTGGGTTCTGGATATATTTCATTTGATAGTAAAAATAAGGGTATAATGTAAAATAGATTTTTCCATTTTATTGTTAATGAAAAAACCCTCCAAACCTATAAATAAGGCTAAGAGAATGGCTTCATTTTCTCATAAGGATTATTTGACCTTTTAAAAGAATGTGCCATTGGTGGATGTTGCTATATTCTAAAATTAAGGCTACAGTCTTTGTGAAGTTATACGATAACTTGATCTGTGAGTGGTAGAGACACAAAAGCATTTTATTTAGTAGAAAAGAAACTCTAAAGATTATGGTATGTTACCCTGTGGAGCATTAGCCAGCCTTGTACCTAATCTAACAAACTTATTTTAACAATCCTTTATTATATTGCTTATATCTATCCAGATTTGTAAATTCTCTTTGAACTGATCTTACCATCTTGATGGTTTCTTCATTTTTAAAATGTGTTTGACAGTATCTTGATAAATATTTCTTCTAATTCATATGAGTCATGCTTTAATCTTTATTGAAAATTATTTCTTAACACCAGTGACATCAACAATAGAACTCAATGGACTTTTGTATATTGTTCATAACATCAATGATCATTACTTTCATTTTCTTTCAAACTCAAGGTCTTCATGCTCTTACAGAGGACACCTATTCTCTCTCTTCTTCTCTCCCTCCCAAGGCTCCCACCTCTGAAATTGTTGTGCTTCAGATCCTGTCTTCCAGCCCAGTTTCTCCTGACTTCACTTTCTTTTCTTTCTCACTAATCCCCAGGATATATAACCCAGTCTATCTTGCTGCTACCCTCAGACTCTCGCATCTTTACCCCTTTCTACCTTTACTGCATGTTTCCTGCAAGGCCTTAATGACCAGGTTTTTCAAATGTTGGCATCCTCTCTTCCAAATCCAAAGTCACGAGGCCTGTTGGACTAGGGCAGCAGTTTCTATTCTTGTCTTTCTATGTCTGTTCTGGAGCCAACACCCATTACTGCCAAGTACCCCCACCTAATATGTGACTCTGTCCATATTTCGCCACTTCTCAAAATGCTTCAACGATCTTTAACATGTCTCAATGTCAAATTTAGATCCTTTGAGGGATAAGCAAGGTTTTTGTATAATGTAGCTACCACCAAACTCAAGTCTTGCCATTCCATTTATTGGACAAGCTGTCACAACAGCACTAAACTATGTGAAGTTCATGATGCAAGCCTTCCTTTCTTTAGTTTTCTGACCTTGATTACATTGCTCCCTTTGCCTTGTATGCACACTCAACCTCATACTGGTGTCCCACCACCAATAGTTTCCTGGTAAAAAGATGTCTTTCAACTTTTGCCTGAAAGGTTATTTATGCCACCCAGGAGGTGTAGGTATCTGTCCCACATGAGCATATGGAATACTGTTCAATTTGTAAACCTCTTACAGCAATCATTATGCTGTATTTTATGTAGGCATATATGTACCCCTCCAGACTTTGTGGGGTTGTTTTAATCTCTTTCACATTTAACACCTCATTAAAAAATGTCAGGTACGCAGTAAGGAAGCATTGAAAAAATGTGCTAAATTAAGAAACTAGATGGGAATAAAAATGAATGAGCACGGGAAGTACTGAGTGTACCTGTGTATAATTTTTGCTGTGTAAAATACCACCACAAAACTTAATTACTTAAAAATACCTTTTTAAATAGTTCATAATTCTAAGCAGTTCTGGTCTGGGCCAACTCCATGGATCTCTCTGGGGCTCTTTTATGTACCTCTGGTCATCTGGTGAATTAGCCGGTAGCTAAATGGTTTAGGATAGCTTTTTTTCACATAGTATAGTTGTTAAAATTGTATCTGGGTGGAGAATCGTTTCTTAAGAAGGTTTACCTCTACTGTCTATGGATTATTATTCTTTAGTAGATCTTCCCCACAAAAATATGACCATTTTAGGATTTAAAAGAGGAGCAAGGGCCGGGCGTGGTGGCTCACGCCTGTAATCCCAGCACTTTGGGAGGCCGAGGCGGGCGGATCATGAGGTCAGGAGATCGAGACCATCCTGGCTAACATGGTGAAACCCCGTCTCTACTAAAAATACAAAAAAATTAGCCGGGCGTGGTGGCGGGCGCCTGTAGTCCCAACTACTCGGGAGGCTGAGGCAGGAGAACGGCGTGAACCCGGGAGGAGGAGCTTGCAGTGAGCTGAGATCGTGCCACTGCACTCTAGCCTGGGCGACAAAGTGAGACTCCACCTCAAAAGAAAAAAAAAAAAAAAAAGAGGAGCAAGAGAACAAGCTCAAATGCCTAAAAAAATTTTTTTATATTTCTGCTTGAATACCATTTGGTAATATTCCATTTGCCAGAGTAAGTCACAGGGCCAAGCCAGAGTCCATGTGAGAGGGCACAACCAACTGAGCAATGGTATGGACATGAGAAGTTAAATTACTGCAGGCCTTCTTATACAAAAACTCATATATTCACACATAAAAACTTTTTTTCACCTATTAAATTTTATCTTTTGGACTTAATTCATAAATAAAATCTGATAGTCTCATTCTTTTGGTGCTGTTTATAAGAAAAACATTGCTATCAAATATGATATCTAATATATGCACATTCATGTCTACCATCTTAATATATGTTTTCATTTTACCCTGCTTTTTTATTTTTAGTCTTTTTCTGCCTTTAAAACAATGTATTGACTTGTACATATTTATCTGCTATTGGCCTGAGAAATACATACTTTATTTGTACTATTTTAGAAGTTATCTTTAAAATTATAACTTATTAAATTGAAAAACTGTGCAAAATTAAGAACTATCTCAACCATCCTCCAAATAAATCAAAGCTGTTTATGAATACTTAACTCCCCCGACCTTTCAAGCATTACATGTTATTGTTGCTTAATATTTTAGTTTTGTTTTATATTCCCAGATTTGCCATCTTTCTTACTACTTTTTACAGTGTTTGCTCTATTCATCTACATTTATTAAATTCTTTGCTTACCATTCTTTCATTTTTTGTTGCTTTTTTTTTAATGACAACTTTATTGAGATACAATCACATATCAAAACCCAGCTGTTCAGGAGGTTGAGACAGGGAGGATTGCTTGAGGCCAGGAGTTTGAGACTGACCTCAAACATAGCAAGACCGTATCTCTTAAAAAAAATAATAAATAAATAAAAATAATAACAATAAAATAATTAGCTGGGCATGGAGATCTGAGTTACTTCGGAGGCTAAGATGAGAGGATTTCTTGAGTCCAGGAGTTCAAGGCTGCAGTGAGCCAAAAATCACAACACTGCATTTCAGCCTGGGTGACAGAGCATGACTCTGAATCTAAAATTAAATAAATAATCACATACCACAAATTTTACTCTTTAAAGTGCATAATTCAGTAACTTTTTAGCATATTCATATATACGTGCAATGATCACCACTATTTAATTTTAGAATACTTTTGGAGAGAAAGTGGAGCAAGATGACCAAACAGAAGACTCCACTGATTATCCTCCCCAAAGGAACACCAAATTGAACAACTAACCACACAAGAAAAAGGACCTTCATGAGAACCAAAAATTAGGTGAGTGATCACAGTACCTGATGTTAACTTCATATTACTGAAAGAAGCACTACAGCGGGTAGGAAACACAGTCTTGAATTGCTGACATCACCCCACCCCATCCCCTCGCAGAGGCCACATGGCATGGGGAGAGCATCTATGTGCTTGGGGAAGGGAGCACAAAGGGATTGTGGGCTTTGCATTAGAACTCAGTGCTGCCCTGTCACAGTAGAAAGCAACACTAGGCAGAACTCAGCCAGCGCCCATGAAGGAAACATTTAGACAAGCTCTACCCAGAGGGTAATCATCTATCCCAGTAATCAGAATCTAAATTCTGGTAAGCCCACCCCCTGCAGGCTAAAGTGCTCTGGGGTCCTAAACAAAATTGAAACGCAGGCTAGGCCACAAGATCTACAATTCCTGGGCAAGTGCTGGTGCTTTACTGGGCTTGGAATCAGTGGACTTGGGGGGCAGGTGATCCAGTGAAATTCCACCCAGTGTGACCAAAAGAGTGCTTGTGCCACCCCTCCCCCAACCTCAGGTGGTACAGCTCAGTTCTGGGAGAAACTCCTTCCTTCTGCCTGAGGAGAGGAGAGGAGAGGGGAGATTAAAGAGGGCTTTGTCTTGCAACTTGGATACTAGTTCAGCCACAAAAGGATCAGGCATCAGGCAGATTCCTGAGCCCCCATTTCAGGCCCTAGCTGCTGATGACATTTCTAGACACACCCTGAGTCAGGAAAGAACCCACTACTTTGAAGGGAAAAACCCAGTTCTAGCAGGATTCATCACCTGCTGACTAAAGAGCCTTTGGGCCCTGAATAATGAGTAGTGGCACAAAGGCAGTACTTGCCGTAGGCCTTGGGTGAGACTCAGAGATGGTCAGGCTTCACGTAGGAGACTCAGTGCATTCCCAACTGTGCTGGCTAGGGGAGGAACTCCTGCTTGAGGGTTAAACAGAATTCTGAATTTTACAGAGAATAGCTTTTTTCATATATTTTCCTGTCTTTGGGGATGAGGTTGAGGAGAACTGGGAGTGATTAAAAGTATGTCTAGGTACATGGTTCTATATTTCATTTATTTCTCCCCTGCTCTTTAATTTTTAGCCTATAGAGGTAGTATTCCAACTATAATTCTCCTTCAGCTGAATGATTCATGGCTTATATCTGGGCTCAAACTTACAGATTATTGTCATCAAAATGATTTATGAATAGTTGCAGATAAGATGGTGGCAACAATTTCATATTACATCCAGCTTGAGAAACCCAAAAAGAAGTAGAATAAGGCTGATCTATTCAACTTTACATGATGATTCTTGTCACCTAATCAATTTGTACATTTCATTCCAAATTATTTACTGATACTTGATTAGATAGTTTTATCAGTGTTTTTCAGAAGCTAAAAAGCAGTATAATAGATGTACCAGCAATTGAATAATTTCATTTTAATATTCATTGTTGTGCTTTTTTATTCATCTATTGGAAACACATCATAGAGTTACAATAAGAACATGGTAATCACCTCTCAGAAGTAAACATCTTACTCTTTAAGCCCTTGTTCCATATTCTTTCACTCAGTCTCTTAACAATTGATTGCTGTTCATATCTCAAGCTTGGTCCTCTACGCTGGAATATAAACATTCCGATGCATAATCAGCATCACAAATTGGTGTCCCAAGCATTTGCCTTTGGTAGCTCAAGTCTTTTCTCAACACATCGATCAGAGTGACACTGTTTATGTTTATATCACATTATGTTATATCACATAATGTCACTGGCTTGCACAAAATTCTCCAATGTTTTCCCATCTCTCATTGGGTTTCTGGAATAAAAGCCCAATTCCTCACAATGGTTGCAAATTCTTCAACATCTGGGCCCTGGATATGTCTCTTTGCTTTTGTTTGAACATGCCAGCCACACTTCAGCTTCAGGGCCTTGTATTGTGTCTTCCTTCTGCTGGAAAACTCTCCAGATACCTGAATGGCTCACCCACTAACCTCTTTCAAGTATTTGCTCAGATGTCAGATGTCACAATAAAACAAATTGTCCCTAAACTCCCCTTTCTCATTTCTGACTTATTTGTTTTTACATAGCATTTATGAAACTCTGATATGATGTACATTTGTTAATAGTCTATCTCCCTGCCTCATTTTGCAAGGGCCATATGTGTAAATAGTCACGGCTATATTCCTAACCATCAATCACAACAAAGCCAATCAAATTGATATTTGCTGATTGAATCAATCAATGTTTCTGTATATAAGTTGCTGTGAATATTTTCCATTGTACTGGGACCAGTATTGTACATTCTATCTATCTTTTCCATTCCATACTCATCTAGAATCCTGAGCTTTAGAAAACTGACTCTTTAGGGGTAAAAAGATGGTGACATTTACCCTTTATATTAAATCCTCACTCTCTTTGCATCATTTAGGAAAGATCATTAAATAAATAATCCATGTTTCCTGTCTCTTTATTTTCCTTGTATATATATCTTGTGCAGACATTACTGAAACTTGGTCAAGTGAAGTGGAATGAGCACTGGGCTCAGAGTGAGGAGTTACAATCCAGTTCTGCCATAAACACATGACCCTGTTTAGGTCACTAAAGATTACTATTAAGAAGCTTAGACTTTGGAAAAATATTTTTGTTGGTTAATGCATTAAATGAAACATTGTATGATAAAACACCTGTAGTCCCAGCTATGAGGGAGGCTGAGGCAGGAGAATTGCTTGAGCCCAGGAGTTCAAGACCAGCCTGGGGCAACATAGCGAGAGCCCACCTCAAAACAAAACAAAACAAAACAAAACAAATTGTATGATAAAACATAATTGCAGCTTATGTTAATATCATGAATTACTCAACTTCTAAAATGCTTTCACAAGCTTTATTTTGATTTACACAAGGGCCTTGAGAGTCATCTTTAACATTATGCTTTATTAGTTTAACATTATGCTTTATTAGCACTTTTTTTAAGTTGGGTCTGCTAGCAACAAATTCTCTTACGTTTGGTTTGGTTGGGTCTGGTTTTGTGTTTTTGTTGCTGTTGTTTTTGTTGTTTGCTTGGTTGTTTTAAATGGGACTGTCTCTATTTCACTTCCATTTAAAAAATAGCGTTGCTAGATGTAGGATTCTTTGTTGACATGTTTTTCCCCTCTGAACCATTTGATTACAATTATTCCACTGTTTTCTGGTCTCCATTGTTTCTAATGAGAAGTAAATTGTTAATGTTATTTTGAGTTCCCTTGTAAGTGACCAGCCGTTTCCCTCTTATTACTTTTAATATTTCATTTTTGTCTTTGGCTTTCAGCATTTCTCCTATGATGCATTTCTTTAAGGATCTCTTGATGTACATCCAACCTGAAGCTCACTGAGCTTCCCAGATGTGTTGATTGATATTTCAATACATTTTGGAACTTTTCAGCCATT
Source organism: Homo sapiens (assembly GCF_000001405.40). NCBI lineage: Eukaryota > Metazoa > Chordata > Mammalia > Primates > Hominidae > Homo > Homo sapiens. The sequence goes on from NC_000020.11 coordinate 7,217,124, forward strand.
ATTAAATATTTTTCTGCTCTTTCTTCTCTCCTCTCCCCTTGGTACTCCCATAATATGCATGTTGATGCACATAATGGTGTCTCACACTTCTCTGATATTCTGTTCGTTTTTCTGTTTTTTCTTTGTCCTTTGAATAACATAATCTTCACTAATCTAGTCTCAGGTTTGCTCATTCTTTCTTCAGCCACTTTAAATCTGTTACTGATTTCCTCTATTAATTTTCTTAATTTTATTGATTATATTTTTTCAATGCCAGATTTTGATTTGGTTCTTTTAAAATAATTTCCATCTATTTCATGTTATTTTTTATTTGATGCAACATTTTCATTATATCTTTATTTCTATAATTATGGCTTATTTTAGGTATTTGAAAGTATTTATAAATGAATATTTTGAGTTCATTGTGAAATCTGTTACAATCTATTTGCTCTTATAGGCAGTTTCTGTTGCCTGCTTTTCTTTCCAGTATATGGGTCATAATTTCTTATTTCTTTGCACATCTCATAATTTTTAATGAAAATTGGAAATTTTAGATAATATATTATGCAACTCACAGGGCTAATTCTCCACTCCAGGGCTTGTTATTGCTATTTGTTTATTTGTTTAGTAACTGGCTAGATTATTTTAGTGAAATCGATTTCATCCTTCTCCAGCTTGCCAACTGTGTGAAGCCTCCAATGTTAATCCTCAGGAGGGGCAGTATTGGGCATGCCCATAGTCACCCTGGGGTGACAGTGGATTGGTTGGGCTCTTTGACTGTCTTTTTTCTAGATTAACCCAGGATGTTTAGCTCCACTAACTTACAGGTGATTGCTCTCTAGTTTTAACAAAGCTTTGGGAACATAAATTGCTCCAGGGACTTAGCCAATCTTATTTAAGTTCTTTTGAAAGAATAATTCCTGAGGTTAGTTTTTCAGGTGTTTTCTGACCCCCAAAAGGTTCATTTCAACTGTCTCTTTCTCTAGATCTCTCTGGGAAACTAGCCAGTCTATACTTTAGCCTATACCTCCATTAAATCTACCAATCTCTTCCCAGTTGCTATTTACCACAAACTTTCTTGCGTTTAAGAGCTTTCTTAGCCTGGAACTTTTCCACACTCCATTGCAGTTTCTTTGGGAAGAGATTTAGAGCTTTCTGTTTTATGGCGTATTTCTCATTCTAAGGGTAAAATATTTCTAGAGCTGGGATATTTCTAGAGCCAAATTTCTAGAGCTGGGAAAGGAACAATGGCTCAGTCTCTCTACATTACAATCCCACTTTGTGAGTTGAATCCTTGGTTGGGGGGGCGGAAGTAGCCTCAGGTCTTCTTGACTTGTATTTCCCAGCAGGAAATCTTTGCCTTAAAAGCTAGAGAGCAGCACTTTGGGAGTCCGGGGCGGGCAGATCACGAGGTCAGGAGTTTGAGAACAGCTGGGCCAACATGGTGAAACTCCGTCTCTCCTAAAGATACAAAACATTAGCTGGGCGTAGTGGTGCGTGCCTGTTAATCTCAGCTACTTGGGAGGCTGAGGCAGGAGAATCGCTTGAATCCGGGAGGCGGGGGTTGCAGAGAGCCGAGATCGCGCCATTGTACTCCAGCCTGAGCAACAGAGCCGGACTCCATAGCAAAAGCAAACAAACAAACAAACAAAACCACCAGAGAACAAGGCTGATAGGGGTCCAAGTCTTCTTGGTGGCATTTGCCTAAAGTAGAGGCACATCCTATGTAGGGGCTGGGCAAAAGATGGAAACTCTCACCTCTCAGCTGCTGTAGTAGTATCAACAGGTATCTGGGGGAAGGATGAGAAATGCTAACATCCTGCCTTTCTCAGGAAGATAGTCCTCTGACTAGCATCTAGAGGATGGAGGGAGGAAGCTCTGTTTCTTTGGCTGGCCAAGGCTAGAGTGCAATTTCTATCTTGTTGAACTAGCAGGAGGTAGGGAAGGAGTGAGTCTTGGTTCAAATACCATAGACTCTCACTGCTCTTGTCAATTTTTAGTAGATTTTCTGGACTAAATGTTTATTTGATTCCTGTATGCCTTCAGGACTATTTCTAGAAACTTTAAATGGTGGTCGTTACTGGTTTTTGTAATTTTAATCTGTCTCCCTGACGAGTAGGGCTACAGAATTCCTCATGCTGTCACGCCAGATGTCACCTGCTATAATTACATTTTGAAAGCACAAAAATGATGTTCTTTAACTTAGACTGGCATATAATTAATACAATTAAGGCCATATATTTAAATATATGAAAGCATATGAGATATTGGTGCTCTTTTTCTATTATGTTTAATAAGGACAAACTGTGTGTCATGCGAAACCTTTTTTATGTTTACTTTATTTACTTAAGCATTCATTTGGGTAAAAGTTCTTGAGTCCTGGGAACTGTTCAAGGTGCTTGGAAAATATATGCTTGTTTAAACTACATGTACCCTATGAGGTATACATAGTTCGTGGTGAGGCTAGGGTTGAACATAGAGTCTGACTTCAAAGCTTCAGCTTTAAACCACTACATTGCACTAAGTACGCACATGTGATTTCATATATGGAATGAATAGAAGGTGAGTAACTACTTTTTTAGAGAAAAGTTATGATTCAGACACTTCTTGATTAGGTAAGCACTTGCCAAGTTGAGCATCCATGTTCTCAACTGTGAAATAACAAGAATACCTACTTAATCACGCAGTTGGGCTGATTAAATGAGATCATGTGTATTAAGTACTTAACAAAATGCCTAGTAATATCTATTGGTTATCTTACCTTACCTTTAAAATAATATTTTGCTATTTGTTTTTATTTGTTTACTTTTTTGGTGAACATTATTATAGTCTGTCCTTTCATATTTGCCATAACTTAGAAGAGATCATGCTCTAATGAAAGACTCAGAACCTAAAGGAAAGGTGACTCCTTAAAATATCAGTCACTGCACATCAGAGTCTCATCTTGGTGATAACCATTTAACAAAAAAACAATGAATAAGGAATGTAGAAAAATACATAATGCTGACATATTGCAAGGGAAAAAACAAATTTCTCATATTGCTAGATATAGAGACTGGAGTAAAAGACCCCTGCTGCCTAGGTTTTGCTTTCATAGGATCTGTGTTCTTCTAAATTGTTAGCTACATTATCCTGTTGATTCCCAATGACCTGTTTCTCTTGTCCAAAACACACAGGGATCTAGTTTGGTTTTTCTATACTGGCAGTTTTCAGAGTGGTCTGTAAACCAGCAGCATCCACATCACTTGAGAACTTGTCAGAAATACAAACATCTTGAGGCAGAAATTCCAGCAAGTGGGCAATATTCTTTAACACATCTTTCAGGTAATTATGATGAAGTCTATATTTGAGAACCCACTATCTTAGACAATTAACACTTCTTCCACCGGGCAGAGCTTTTTATTAATGAATTACTGTCAAGGTCTTTGGTGGGACCTCCTATGCATCAAACACCCAGTTGTGGCCACTGGAATAGCTTGCTGCTGCTGTGGTGAAAAATGAGCTAATTTACCATTGCCAGAATTCCAGCAGAATTAAATCAGATGACTTGTTTCCAGCCCAAATAACAACACACATTATCATCCAGCATTTAGGAGTTGACCTTTATCCTGCACTATAGATTCCACACTTACAAGCTTTCTTATGTTTCTTGAAATAGCTTTGTTAGCTACTGACCTTGGATTTGGCTCAGGCTGTTCCCTCTGTGTAAAATTTTTTTCTTCCTCTCTTTACCTAGTTAACACTGACTTTCTCTTCAGATCTCAATGTCAGCTTCAATTCCTTGAGTGTGGCATTTTCTGAATCCATATTTGAAATTAGGTTTTCTCTTCTTCCCTCCTCGTCTCCTCTCCTCTCCTCTCCTCTCTTCTTTCCTCTCCTCTCCTCTCCCCTCCTCTCCTCTCCTCTCTTCCCCTCCTCTCCCCTCCTCTCTTCCCCTCCCCTCCCCTCCCCTCTACTCTTTTCCTCTCCCCTCCCCTCTACTCTTTTCCTCTCCCCTCCCCTCTCCTTCCCTTCCCCCTCATTCCCTCCCTCTCCCTTCCCTCCTTCCTTCCTTCTTTCTTCCCTCCCTCCCTCCCTTCCTTCCTTCTGTCCATCCATATTACAGAATTGCTATTGAAGTTTGCAATTATGCTTTCCTTTATGAAGTATTTGGATTCAGTTCTGTCGCCCTTGAAAGACTGTAAATTCCATGAGGGCGAAGAGTGAACCTGTTTTGTTCACAAATGCACCCTCAATTGGGACCATCGACAAATACTTGTAGACATATAAATAAAAGCAAAGTTCCAGTTTATCAATATTTTGTGATATCTAGTAGTTTATTTATGCCCAGGTGAAGAATATCATTTAGTTTATGATATTTCTATTGGAAAAAATATTCATTGATGTCTTACTGTGTGTCTGGCATTCTTTTAGTGCTGGTGATGGAGCAGCAAATACAGCAGACAAAATTCCAGCTCTCATGGAGCTTATATTCTAATTTTAATCAAAGAATTGTCAGCAAAGCTATGAAACTACATTGCTGAAAATTCCACTTGTAACTTTTATAGCAGAATTTTGGATACTTTTAATGACAAACTAAGTTAAAGAAACTATAATGCACTATGTAGAACTACAGAAATTATGGCAGTTCTTGAATTTAGAATGCCTTGTTGCAAAAATTATTCTGAAGCAAACAAGGGGAATTGGTCTCCATCATACATTTCAAATTTTAAAAAAGTGTCTCAAATGATAACAGTGGACCTCAGCAGAAACTCTAGATTTAAATTTCAAAAATAAATTATGTAATAATGTTATGATTGATATTAATAAATAATAATATTATGAATAATAGTTCATGGCAATGGGATGCTGATGGTAGGCTGTTATGAGAGAGTTGAAAGTTAATGGGATCAAGTCTTTGATTCAGTTAGCAAATTTAATATATATATTTTTATTGATACATAACATTGGTATATATGGGATATGATATGGTTTGGCTGCGTCCTCACTTAAATCTCATCTTGAATTGTAACTCCTACAATTCCCATATGTCATGGGAAGGACTCAATGGGAGGTAATTGAATCATAGGGGCGGATCTTTCTCATGCTGTTCTCGCAATAGTGAATAAGTCTCACAAGATTTTATAAAGAGGAGTTCCCCCGCACAAGCTCTCTCTCTCTTTTGGCCTGCTGCCATCCATGTAAGACATGCCTTTCACCTTCCACCGTGATTGTGAGGCCTCCCCAGCCATGTGGAACTGTAAGTCCATTAAACTTTTTTCTTTTGTAAATTGCCCACTCTCAGGTATGTCTTTATCAACAGTGTGAGAACAAACTAATACAGGGTACATGTGATATTTTATTACATGTGTAGAATGTGTAACAATCAAGTCAGGGTATTTAGAATATTTATTACAAGAGTTTTTTTATTTCTATATGTTGAAAATATTTCATATCTTTTATTCTAACTATTTTGTAATACACAGTAGATTGTTGCTAACTAGAGTAACCCTACTCTGCTATTGCACATTAAAACTTATTCCTTCTAACTATACGTTTGTACCCATTACCCAACCTCTTTTCATCCCCCCCACCCACACACCCTTTTCAGCTCCTGGTTACTATCATTCTACTCTCTACCTACATAAGATTAACTTTTTTAGCACCTAAATATGAGTGAGATGTGATAAATTTGTCTTTCTGGCCAAGTGCGGTGGGTCACACCTGTAATTCCAGCACTTTGGGAGGCCGAGATGAGTGGATAGCCTGAGCTCAGAAGTTCGAGACCAGCCTGGGCAACATGGTGAGACCTTGTCTCTACTAAAAATACAAAAAAAATTGGCTGGGCGAGATGGCCCTTGCCTGTAGTCCCACCTATTCATGGGGACTGAGGCATGAGAATCACTTGAGCCTAGGAAGCAGAGGTTGTAGTGAGCTGAGATGGGGCCACTTAACTCCAGCCTGGGTGAGAGAGTGAGACTCTGTCTCAACAAAAATAAATAAATAAATAAATAAATTGTCTTTCTATGCCTGGCTTATTTCACTTAATGTCCAATTCCATCCATGTTGCTGCACATGACAGAATTTAATTCTTTTTATGGCTGAATAGTATTTCATTGTATATCTATACAATATTTTCTTTATCCGTTCATCCATTGATGGACACTTAGGTTGATTCCATAACTTTGCTATTGTGAGTGGTGCTGCAATAAACATGAGGGTGCAGGTATCCCTTTGATATACTGACTTATTTCCTTTGGATACATAGTAATGAAATTGATGGATCATATGATAGTTCAGTTTTTAGTTTTTTTGAGAAATCTTCACACTGTTTTCCATAGTGGCTATAATAATTTACATTCCCACCAACAGTGTATAATAGTTCCCTGTTCTCTGCATCCTTTCTAACAGTTGTCCCTTTTTTTGTCTTTTTGATAAAGGCTTTTCTAAGTGGGTAAGGTAACATCTCAATGTGGTTTTGATTTGCATTTCACTGATGTTTAGTTATGTTGATCATTTTTCATATTCCTGTTGCCTATTTGTATATCTTCTTTGTTGAAAAGTCTATTCAAAGCATTTGCACACTTTTTAATAAGACTATTTGCTATTTATTCAGTTAGCTGTTGAGTGGGTTGAGTTCTTTGTATCTTCTGGTTATTAGTCCCTTGTTGGATGAATAGTTTGCAAGTGTTTTCTTCCATTAAATATTTTGTCTCTTCACTTTTTGTTTCCTTTATTGTGCAGGTTTTTAGTTTGATATTATTCCATTTGTCTATTTTCAGTTTTGTTGTCTGTGATTTTTGAGATTTTTGCCATAAAATACTTGCTTATACTGATGGTTGGGAGGCCTTCCCCTGTGTTTTCTTCTAGTAATTGCATAATTTCAGGTCTTACATTTAAGTCTTGAATCCATTTTTGAAGTTTTTTTTTTTTTTTTTTTTTTGTATATGTCAGGAGTTAGGGCTTTAGTTTCATTCCTCTGCAGATGGATATCCAGGTTTCCCAACAGCATTTATTGAAGAGGGTATCCTTTCTCCAATGTATGTTCTTGGTGCTTTGGTTTTAAATCACTAGGCTATAAATACGTAGATATATTCTTGAGTTCTTTACTTGTTCCCTTAGTCTATGTATCTGTTTTCTACCAATATCATGCTGTTAATATAGCCTTGCAATATATTTTAAACTGTTCCTCCAACTTTGCTCTTTTGGCTCAGGATTCCTTCGGATGCTTAGGATCTTTTTTTTTTTCCTGTATTGTTCCATACAATTTCAGAATTTTTTTTTATTTCTGTGAAAAATGTCATTGGTATTTTGCTAAGAATTGCAGTTAATCTATGTATTGCTTTGGATAATATGCTCATTTTAAGCATATTAATTTTTCCAATCCATGAGCAAAGGAAGTCTTTCCATTTCTTTGTTTCCTCTTTAATTTCTTTCATCAGTGTTTTGTAGATTCCCTTGTTGAGATCATTCACCTTCTTGATTAAATTTATTTCTAGGTATTTTATATTTTGGGGTAACTATTGTAAATGGAATTACCTTCTTGATTTAGTTCTCCAGTGGCTCATTATTGAGGTACAGAAATACAACTTATTTTTGTATATTGATTTTGTATTCTGCAACTTTACTGAATTTATTTATCAGATCTAAGACTTTTTTAATGGAGTCTTTAGGTTTTTCTAAACATAATTTAATATCATCTGCAAATAGGAACAATTTGACTTTCCGTTTTGCAATTTGGATGTCTTTTGTCTTTCTTTCTTTTCCTAATTACTTTGGCTGGATCTTCTATGTAGGATATAAGTAGCAAAAGTGGGCAAAGTTGTCTTGTTCCAGCTCTTAGAGAAAAGGCTTCTAGCTTTTCCTCACTCAGTATAATCTTAACTCTGGGCCTATCATATGTGGCCTTTATTATATTGAGGTATGTTCCTTTTATGCTTAGTTTGTTGAGAGTTTTTATTATGAAGGAATATTGAATTTTATCAAATGCTTTTTCTGTGTCTATTGAGATGATCATATGGTTTTTTTCTGATTCAAATATTTGGTTGCTTTATGGTGTCTCATAGGTCATGGATATTTTCTTCATTTCTTTTTAGTCTTTTTTTCTTTGTTTGTCTGCCTGTTATTTTAAAAGGCTCTGTCTTCCAGTTCTATTTTCTTCCCTTCTGCTTGAGATAGTCTATCATTAAGGCTCTTGGTTGTATTTTTTATTTCATTGATTGAATTCTTCAGTTCTGGAATTTCTGTTGTTTGTTTGTTTTGTATGATATATCTGTCTATGGTGAATTCCTCACTTATACCATCAGTTGTTTTTCTAATTTCTTTGTATTGCTCATCTGTGTCTTCTTGTATCTCACTATGCTTCTTTATTGTCATTATTTTAAATTCTTTTTCAGGCATTTCATAATTTTAATTGACATTTGTTGCTGGAGAATTAATGTTTTCCTTTAGCGATGTCATATTTCTGTTTCATGTTTCTTGTGTCCTCACATTGATATCTGCACATATTGTGCAACTGTCACTTCTTTCAAGTTTTTGGATTCATTTTTGTAAGGGAAGACTTTTTCTTGAGATTATATCCAAGGTATTTGTTCAGTGGGGCACTTTAGCTTTGATTCTGGATACATGCAGTAGTGTATCTCTGTGTGATTTCTTCAGCTGTAAACAGCAACAGTAGTGTCTGTATTTTCCTCAGTGACTTAGGGAGTGGTTATTAGTAAAGGCTGTGGCAAGGCTTTGCTGGGGACAAAGATAACAGGTGGGCCAGTCCTCTAGGCCCAGTGGTGGCAGTGGAAGGCTGAGAGTGCCTGTCTGCAAGCTCCTGGGCAGCATATACAGATGCGGGTATTAGCGGGTTCAATTTTGGAACCTCCAGGTGGCTCACCAAGAGTGGTGGGCCAGGCTGCTGGGTGTGTCCTTGCACCCCTGGGCAAGGTGCATTATGTGGGCAAAGGCAGTAATGGTGGTGGGTGCCCAGGCAACAGGCACTGATGTTAGCAGTGGCTGTAATGGGCTAGGCAGGCCAGCCCCAGTACCCCAGGTGGCACTTATGGTGGGTACCCACAGTGGTGGTGGTGGCAGGTGGGTAGGCTTGTCCTCAGGCTTGTTGGAGGAGTACATAGATGTCAGCTGAGGTAGATATGGTGGGGCAATCCCCAGGCCTCCAGAAGATGTGCTTTGGTGCTAGAAACAAGTGTTTTGGGCCTGTTGTGAGGCTTCCTGGTGGTGCACTTTCACTGACAGGGTAGCAGATGGGGCAGAACAATCCTCAGGTCCCTGGTGGCATGCTTGGGCATTGGGGAATCGGTAATGCAGCTGGCAAGTAATTATCTGTTCTTTAGGAGGTGAGCTGAGCTGCTGATCTCGTGGGCAAACACACATATATATAATTTACACAGTTACATTGACTTTAATTAACAATGTAGAATATTTTATTTCTGTAGGAACTGATTATCCTAGAATTGTTTCTTTCAGCTCTGTTGCACATTGCTTAGGTATTAGCTTCCATGAGTAGAGTCAAAGATTTAAAAAAAAACTGCTTAGAGGAATACTAGGCCTACTGTTTGCCATATGACTGTGCTTGGCCTACTCTGATTACTCCTAAATCTATACAACAGCTGTTCACAGTTCCTAGCATGAGGCATCAACAGAAATGAAGTGGAGCACCCCTCATTAGCTAAAGCTTCTTGTACCTCACTGGCATTTTTTCCCTCTTCCTTTCTTCTGTTTGAAAGTGACTTATTGTTCTTAATTAGTTCAGATATATTATGTGGCATCCCAGTCTTGCCAAGTAAAAGGAATTGTCCAAATCAATGAATGACTCCTTCTTCATTTAAACTAAATATATACATATATTTTTGAGACAGTCTCACTCTGTCACTCAGGCTGGAGTGTAGTGTCTCAGTCAGAGCTCACTGCAGCCTCAACCTCCCAGGCTCATGCAATCCTCCCATCTCAGCCTCCAGAGTAGCTGGAACTACAGATGTGTGCCACCATGCTCAGTTAATTCATTTTTTTATTTTTGGTAGACCTGAGGCATCACTATGTTGCCTAGGCAGGTCCTGAAATCCTGGCCTCAACTTATCTTTCCACTTTTGTCTCCCAAAATACTGGGATTACTGGCATGAGCCACCACGTCTGGCCCTTAAAAAGATTTTTTACAAATTATCAGGGTAATTTTATCTTTCCCAAGTGAGAGCCAGTTTTGGTTTTTTAAACTTGTGAGATTGGAGAGTTGGCACTGTTGGTTTGTTAGTGGTTATTAACTAAGTTGGATGTAACCACAAGAAGTATAAAAGGGAGAAGTGATGATAAGACAGAAGGAAGGAAGGAAGGGAGGAAGCAAGGTGGGAATAAGGGAGGGAAAACAAGAGAAAGAGAAAGGGAGTTAAAGAGGGGGAGTGAGAGAGAGAGAAAGAAGTGGAAACCCCTGCCCACACTCCTGTCACACCAAGCCCTTTAGGGAGATTTTGTAAGCTTTAATGTGCAACCTCCTCTTACTGTAACTCCTTTTTTTTTTATTATTATTATTATTACAAATAAAAACTTGGCATGTCTTTGAAGTTTTAACTGCATCAAAGACTTGCTCCCATTAATTTAAAATTACTTTTTCTAAAAGCCTGTCTACTGTTAGCAGTTCATGAAAAGGATGCCCTGTTTGCTGTCTCCTGAGTTCTCAAAGAAGAACCTCTAATTGATCTTTCTGCATTTTTGCATCAAATAATACTGAGTGGAAAAAAATGCCCTTTAACTCATAAAGTGGCCACGTCTATGAGAGACTCTTGAGGCAGATAGAACTGAAGAAAGGGGTCTGACTACACTCCAGGGTTCTGGATTTAGAAGAAAACGAAATTGAGAAAATGAATTTATATTTGAAATCAACAAATACTAACTCTTCATTGATTTCTATGGCAGTCAGAATGCAGCAAAATATTTTTGAAAATAAACTAGCATTTTTTAAATCTTTAAAAATTTTAATGTTGTAAAATAGTATATTAATTGTTAGACTTGCAGGTTTAAAGGAGTTGAAAAACATTTTAATTTAATTCCCTCTAAGTCCACACTTCATTTATTAAACAGATCAATTTGTTTCATTTTTTTTCTATTCTTCCCATATAAAATGCTCATAATCTGTTTGTATTATATCCTTTACATTGAGAAGTTTTATACATATTTTAATTTTATTCTCCCATCAGCAAGTCTTGTTTTCCTTGTATAAGTCAAATAGTGGACATGAACAGCTTGAAAACAACCCATAATATTGTTGAAGAGTATATGGAAATAGTCTATTTTGGAGAAAAAAATAAACTCATTTTTCAGAAAACAACCAATTAAATTATGTTATTTAGGTCTGACATTTTATTTAGTAAAATTAATGTTAAAAAAAACCCTTGGTTGCCTAACAAGTTGAATAAATTAAATTGAGTTAATTGAATTAAGTTGAATTAATTAAATTCAATTGTTTTACTTTTTTACATCTTTAATTTTCCAAAATGTACTGGATCACTTGTTTTATTCTTTTATAAAATATGAAATTAAGATGAAGCATGGTGATGCTACATATTAGGAAATTATATTCCTGAATGTCACCTCCTTGGTAATATTTGGCAAAATTCTGTGAATAACAAATCTAAGAGAATAAATATTCTCCAATCAATAACCAAGGATTCAGATGATAAACAAAATTCGTTTTATGTTATTAGAGCAGCCTGCCTATACTAAGCCCAAAACAACCACTTAATCTTTTAAAACAAGGGTTATAAAATTATAGCTAGTTAGGCCAGCCTGTGGCTTTTTTTTGCTAACAAACGCCAATAGAATAGTTATCCAAATAAGTGAATTAGACACAATCCATCTCTAATAGGTTCCTTCTCTAATATTCAATTATTATGGCTTCATCCAACATGAAGTAACACAAACCATATCTGGTCTTTTCTGTGTGAAATCTGACAATAAAGCTCTTCTGATATTATCTAACTGAGGTGATACATTATAACGACACCCAGGAGACCACACTGCAAGTGCTGGGAAAGGAAGCACGGCGTTGTGAAACTGCCAAAACCTTGTGGGTCATTTTGTTCAAATATCTCATCTTATTTATGTATTTATCTATTGATTTTTAAGATGCCGTATCCCTCTGTCACCCACGCTGGAGTGCAGTGATGCAATCTTGGCTCACTGCACCCTCCACTGCCTCATGGTCTCAAGTTATCCTTCCACCTCAGCCTCCCAAGCAGCTGGGACCACAGGCAAATGCCACCATGCCAGGTTAATTTTTTGTATTTTTGGTAGAGACAGGGCTTCTCCATGTTACCCAGGCTGGGCTCAAACTCCTGAGCTCAAGCGATCCATCTGGCTCGGCCTCCCAAAGTGCTGGAATTACAGGCATGAGCCACCCCGCCTGGCCCATATGTCTCATTTTAGAGACAATAAAGCTAAGGGCCTCGGGGTTGTCCTTGGGTTAGCCCAAGGACACTAGATTTTAGCACAAGTTGATCAAGAATAGTGTCCGGCTAAGGTTGGAAACTCTATGTCAGCCTCTGATTGGATGAAAATAAGCGCGAATGACAGCAAGAACTTACGGGCTCTAGAAGGATTCTGAACCCAGAAACAGCAAGGGGACAAGAAACAAATAGTGAATGTGCTTAAGGAGTCTTGCTAACAAAATTGTATGGAGTTTCCCTCTTAGCTTTGTGAAATTTGGTTCATTTTGAAGGTTCATGTGTTAGTTTCATGGAGATGATTCTGCTGGCTCTAAACAAGCCATGGGAGAGCCAAGGCACACCAGCTCTCCTGATGTGGGTTAGCAATGTGATCCTTGTTTTTCCAGCCAGCTTATTGATACCTTCTATCTCATGGAAAAGCCTTCCTTGCTGCCCTAACTGACCTACATAAAGCCATGGAAATAATTGATTAGGAACAAAAGGACCTTAGACCCATCTGTATTCAGTAAAAGCTTCCACTGAAGGTGAGCGCATATCTAAGAGGTTTAATGTACTGGTTAAGAGCATAGGATGTTGGGACAGAGCATCAGGGTTTAAATCGCAACTTTGCCTCTAGCAGTTTGATGTTGGGCAAGTTGTCAAACCTAGCTTTGGTTCTTTAAACTCATCTATAACACTGAAGTAAGTAATAATAGGGCTGTGATGAGTGCTAAATAAGTCAGCACATATAAAATGCTTACAATAGTGCCAGCACACATTAAATATTGCCCATGTGATTTTTCTGGAATTTGTTTTAATTCCAGATTTTCATCTAAGAAAGTTTTTCTATTTGGCTTTATATCTACGCAAATAAAAGTTTGAAAAGGCAGCTCAGTCTCTATAAAAAATTTTGTAAAAGTGAATATGGGAATAAGCTGATTTGGCTTATAATAAAAATCAAATGAATCCAAATGTAAATTTTGGGGTTGTTAATGCAAAGTGAAGTCCTCTTGGGTCCAAATATAAACAGACTGGGATTTGTTTAAGGATTTGAAAACACTGAAAATAAGGAAATGTGAAAATTAGCATCTTTACACACCTATTGCATGCTACAAACTATTTTAAGTACTTGAAAATCAGAATCAATAAACAACTTGAGTGCACTTTATAACTGTGAGAGAAGAAAATCAAGTTGCAAAGTATTAGATTCATTGCTCCTCCAGTTAAAGTTAAAAATAGGCAAAATTAATACTTTTTATAGTTGTATACCAAATTGCTAAAATATATTTAATAATCCATGAAAGCAATTATCATAAAAACTAGTATAGTGGTTATTTAAAGGGATGAGGAAAAGGGTATGTCACGGAGGAGGAATAAATATGGAGCAAGAGTTCAGAATTTCTGGCAAGATTTAATTTCTCATCTTTGGTAGTGGCTAAATGTGTATTTGCTTTGTGATTATGCAGTATACTCTACATTTACATTTATTCTCTTTTGTAGTGTTATCACATTTTAGAATAAAACGTAAAAATAATGACATTAAACACTTAAGAGCCAAACATTTGCAAAATTGCCACTATTTCCAGAGACTTTATACTGCCTTGTTAGAAATGCTAATAGTCATGGTAATGAGGTTTGATTCAACCTGAATATCAAATCCCCATCTCAGCTACAAATGCCTCACTCCACGGACAATTTGTAGATGAGACATACATAGCAAATTGGTCCTCAGTAGATATACCTGACAACAAGTTTAATAAAGATGGCAATGTTTCAATACTAAATGAGGAATGAAAGTTGTCAGAATCATGGTGTCTTATAAAGAAGAATGATACACAAAGCATTTCATCATCCTTGTCATGTCTTACCAAAATAATTTCTGCCTTTTAAACTAAGCAATTGAGTTGGAAGCAATGTTTCAACTTGTGGGCTTATATTAATAGAAGTCAACATAGCAATGGGATAAAACATACTTAGTGATGAGTCAAAAAGTGAAACTGGTTTGGCAAATTCTACCTCATCTCAGTGGCAAATAATTAACTTATAATGAAAACTGAAACCAATTACATTCAGTCTAAAGGGAAACTGAAGGTCAATTACTCAAGACATCAATTATCTATAAAGAAGTTTATGGATATCATCAACTATTGATTTTTACAAAGTGTTAAAGACACTCATGAGTCATTTACTGAGTACTAAATTATATTTATCAATTCTCAAAGTTCCCAGTGATTGCAGATGAAATTTATAATTGAGTGCCAGGTTGTATTTTCCACAATTGGCTACAACATTATCTCCATCCATGCATGCTCTTCTAGAACCTTGCCTTTGTTCCATCCTGGAGTAGAACCTATTTCTTTCCGCATGAAACTGAGTGGACTTATGAACCATTTGTAATCAATAAAATGTAATATATATAATACTGTATGATTTTTGAGGCTAGATAATAAAAGATAATGTCACTTGTCTTATTTGCTGGAATACTCATTCTTGAAGCTTTCAGAGGCTACAGAAATCATTCTATAGCCATGAGGGTGCCATGTTGTGAGGAAGCCCAAACTATCTCACATACAAAGAGCACATGGTAAGGGCACGAGACTAATACAAAGAAAGTGAGATGCCCAGGCAACTGCCAGGTACTTTAGTCCCCCAAATTTGAATGTTCCAGCCATAACTACCATCTGACCATAACCATGATTCAAAACAAAAGTCCTTTCCAAATTTCTTACCCACAAAGTTCATGAGAAATAATATAATATTTGTTGTCTTTTCGCTAAGATTTGTGTTGATCTGTCACATGGCAATATAAATGACCAACTGAGCTATTTTCTCAAACTTCAGGGCTATTTGTTCTCATTGAAAGATTATATACAATACTCAGGAAACTTCATATAATCATCTATGTGATGTTTCTAATTGATTAGCTCAAGATATTTGATCAACCCTTGGAAAACTTCAATATCATATGTTGAATTCCTGAGGTGTCCACTTAGGAACATTTTGATAAATCCATGAATTCAGACTCTTGGTCCACAATATGTGATCTGAGGTGGCATCAAAAAATGGTAGAGTAAGGACCTCTAAAATTCTCTCCTCCATAAAAGCAATGAGAGCACTAGTAAAAATTATTAGAATTAAAATTTTCAAAACTATAGAAATCAATCAATGCTTGCAGAAACTCCAGGGATATTTATTCAAGAACAATGGCTGAATATTGGTACAAATAAGCAGTTTTGCAGTACTGTAGCACTATTCCCACATCCTAATCATCATAAAAACTAACATTGCATCCTGGAAGCCACTGGTCGGGACAGAATGGATTTGGAATTCCTTTAAAATTGCATTCCTCGAGGATTATTGTTATTTGACCTGTCTAGTGACTCACTGGAATACACTACTTGCAAGGATATCTTTATTTGACTGTGACTTGGAACTTGCCTAATGTGAATAGCCTTTTCCCCAGGATTGTTTGTTGAAACAATCAGAGACAACTGTATAACACCACAGCTGCCTGAGGCAATGGATGGTAGACTGAGAAAACAATAGGCAAAGAAACCTTAAAAGGGGAAGTAGGGAAATAGTACACTCACAGGGAGCTTTGAAAAGCTCTGATACATTCCTGGGAATCCTGAAGGACAACCACATACAGAAGTCTATGTGTATGCACAGGACTCTGTGCATGCTCAGAAAAGACCTGAAAACCTAAGTTCTAACCTTGAGGCTCTGTGTAAACAGGAAGTGAAGGCTAAGGTAGAGTTGTAACTTCTTGAATGTAGAAAGTATACCCAACACACACACAAAACCCCTCAACAAAGACTGTGGAAGACATTAGTTTCAGGTAGTTAAGGAAATCTCTGTCCAATCATTAAACGACCATTAAGATAACTGAGCAGAGACTTCAATGGACACACATAACAAAGAATATAGACTAGAAGAATTTTAAATTTTAAAGTTTTATTTTGATAGCTTTAATAGATATCTAGTAATCATTTCTAGTTATGTCACCTTTCTTATTATTCTTCTTTCTATTGTAAATGGTATGTTTTTTCTGTGAATATTTTCCTGGCTGTTCTTTTAACATTAATCTGTAAATTATTCTAAAAATGCTAATGATTTTTTTATATTTAAAAATAGTTTTTCATTTATTTTTCTATGTTTCCTAGGCAAATAATCTTATGACTGGAGAGTAATACCAAATTTAGTCCCCCTTTCATAAATATATAACTTCTTTTTTATCTTTTCTTTATGTGCATTGCTAGTTTGATAGTTCAGGGTATAAACTTTTATGTGTCTTTAATGAATCGACTTTATCCATATTCAGATCTTATCTATGATTTACTTGTTTTCTCTACTTATTTCCCATTAGCAGACAAATCAAGTTTCCATCTATAATTTTTGTTTCTGTCAATTTCTCCCTTCATTTCTAGATTTTAGTTTAGTGTATTTGAATACAATGTTATTTAATGCATTAAAAATATCATGAAGGATATTTCCACTGTATAGGTGTTTATATCCTTTCCATTATAATTTGAGCCTTTTGGTCTTATTAAACAGGTTTGGATTGAGTTCCAATCATCCAGTACTAACGTTGGAACTGCAGTGTTATTTGTTGTTGTTGTTGTTGTTTTTCTTTTTAAAATAATTTTTTTGCATTTATCTATATTTTTGCACTTTACTTTCTACATTTATACTTACTTTTTTTTAAGAGTGTCATATTTAAGATACAGTGAAATGTGATCGTTGACTTAGTTTCAGTCACTTATATCAATGGTAAATTTAGGAACATGCTAGCAGTGTTTATTTTAATATTCTTTTATTTAAAATGGTATCCTTCACTATTTTCTCTGTCTTCTCACGTTGCTACATTGGCTTTCTTCCCTTCCTACATCTCCTTCTTCCTCTGCCACAGTCAAAACTTAGAATGCTTTTATTCTTTATTTATTTTTCATGCATTTGATTGTATGACTGTAAATAATCTAAAACTGTAAATAGTCTTGATTTCATAACTTAAAAATAAGATAATATCTATAAATAATTTTTCAAATTGGCTGCTGGATTTTTGCCTCAATTCATAATTTTGAAAAGCTCTGATATGTTCCTGGGAATCCTGAAGGACAACCACATACAGAAGTCTATGTGTATGCACAGGACTGTGTGCATACTCAGAAAAGACCTGAAAACCTAAGTTCTAACGTTGAGGCTCTTGAGCTTACATTATAAAAGTTTCCTTTAAGGATTATTGCATTTACATTACATTCTGCCAGTAAACTTCTCATTGCTTTTGCCCATAAATCATATCTAACTGAATCCATGCTCTCCATTGGTTACATATATTTGACCAATTTATCATTTGTGCATTCTGTTTGTTCACATCTTGGTTAGTAGCATCACAATTTCTCAGATGGTTGCTGGTGGTCAGGTGAAATAAAGTGCAGGTGGAGGCAAAGTGTTGAGACCTCAAGTGACTGAAGCACTTACTATGACAACTATAGTGATGATGGAGATTATAGGTCACCTGGCTTCTTTTTATGGTCCTAGACGGCACAAAGAGAAGAGGAAATTGAAATACATGAATGTACAACTGAGAATGTTGGTGAACAATCAGAAAGCCTTGATGGCAGCTATAAAAGAATTCATCATCTCCTGCAATTGTGGAGCAAATATGTCTGAAGACTTATCCTGAGATTAGGTCTTGCTACTCTGCAACCCTTCTTGCTACTCTGCAACCCTTATCTTATCTTTCACATGTTAAAGCTACCAAATTTCTTACACTAAAATTAGGCCTCTGGAGAAGAAAGACTGGTTCACTGGTATACGAGAAGTTGATTTATTTGGGCCAAATATATGATTTCCTTAATTTCCACTCACTCTGTCCTGTTGGCTAAGGAAACCCTTTTTTCTCTTCTGAGAAATCCACTCATCCTCTGCATAAAAGACTTATGTTGAGTGCAAGACTTGGACATATGGGGCAATTTCTCATAAGAGTATATCAGTTGTTTTCAATACACACTTCCATCATGCTTTATCACCTTCAGTGCCACCATGAGATTTAGATGCCAACATAGCTCAGACGCATGAAACACCAGTCCTGATCTGCAGATAGAGCAGTCTAGGTGCCAAAGGAGTTACAGAATTTCACCAATCTGTACTGGCCAGGATCTGGGTATATATATCTATGACAATGAAATCTAAGGGTATTAGGCTAGGAAAAAAAAGAAAGAAAGCCTTGAGTAAGATAAAGTATTGACATGAGTACTTTCACCTAGAATTTGAAATTAAATTTATTGACTTGAAAACTTATAAATATAACTCACATTCTGATAAGTCAGCCACCTGTAGTTCGAACAAAATGAGGTTGAAATGCTATAACATCCTTGGCATCCTAAAGAAATCTAAGACCTCAGGTAGATGGGAGTGTTGATGAAGATTTGTTATGTGCAACTTGCTCTTTTCCTAGGGCAGCCAACAAGATTATATGCCTAAGAAAGACTGAGGGGTTTCCTGGGACATGAGATTTTCAGTGGCAACTCCAGGATAGTCCCTTGAAAACTGTGATGTTTGGTCCCTTAACCTTCTACTCTCTCACTCTACCCTTGAGAGGCCTGCAAAATACTCCTTCAGGAGGTTTAAAGAATAAAATCTGCTGTAGGGGGTACAGGGGGAGGGAGAGCATCAGGAAGAATAGCTAATGGAGGCTGGGTTTAATACCTAGGTGATGGGTTGATCTGTGCAGCAAACTACCATGGCACATGTTTACCTATGCAACAAGCCCAAATCTGCACATCCTGCACATGTACCCCAGAACTTAAAAGTTGAAGAAAAAAAATCCACTACTGATCAAGTTCTGGCTCTCATCTAAGCTACTCAGCTACTTGGGCCTTATGATCCATAGGACCCACTAGAACTTAGATGTCTGTGGCCAGAAGAGATGGTTCATGACCCCCCTGGCAAGCACCAACAGGAGAATCACACTATACATTTTTGGGGCTTTAGAGTAAGGCCATCTCATCTTCAGGTAACAAATATTCTTCAGTTGAAAAGAAACTTCTAGCTTGTTATTGGGCGCCGACAGACTGAATCCCTGATTATGGAACATCAAGTGATTATGCAGCCTGAATTACCTGTCATGAACTGAGAATTATTTGATTCACTGAACTGTAAAATTAGATGTGCACAGCTGCACTTCATTATAAAAGAAGAATCATATTTGTGAGATCGTGACTGAGTAGGCTTGGAAAGTATAACTAGAATGGCATGAAGTAGATAGCTCCATTTTACCTCTCCTCTTGCTATGTTGCCCCTCCCTCTTTCCACATATATTAAGTCAAGGGAAGCTCATATGACCATTAGCAGATGAGAAAAAAGCTCAGGCTTGGTTTGTGGATGAATGGGCATGGCATGCTGGCACCAGCCAGAAGTGGACAGCTATCTTTCAACACTATGCAGGGGTAGCCCTCAAAAAGTGTTGGTCACCACAGGATCTCTCCTTTTTATAGTTAAAAATCAAGTCTTTGAGGTAGAAGTGACTCCTTTCAATATTATATATAAAATGCACATAAATAACTTTTGCTTCCTGTCTCTTATCAACTTTGGACTCAGATGTTTGGAAGTCCCAGTGGCCACGAAGACAATGCTTCCTCCAGGCATATGGTCATGGGTTCTAATGAATTAACAGTCTCCTCTCCCCACCACCACCTTGGACTTCTTGTGTCACTGAACCAACAGGCAGAAAAGCGAATTACTCTTCTGAGTAGAGTGGTTGAAGTCCATTACAAGGTAGAATTCAGGTTGACATTACATATTGTGGGCAAGAAGGAGTATGCTTGAAACCCAGAGAGTTTTCTGGTAGTATGTTAGTACTTCCTTTGCAAATAGCGCTAGTCAATGGAAAACCATGGTAATCTAAGATTCAGATTCCACAAGAATAAAGGATTGAGTCACCACACTTGAAAAATATCCCATCCAGCCAAGGTTCTGGCATAAGTCAAGAAAAACATAGAATGACTGAAGGACAAAAACTG
The DNA here is from genome assembly GCF_000001405.40 of Homo sapiens. Lineage (NCBI taxonomy): Eukaryota > Metazoa > Chordata > Mammalia > Primates > Hominidae > Homo > Homo sapiens. The sequence continues at coordinate 7,237,525 of NC_000020.11, forward strand.
CTTTAATTAACAGCTATGTCTCATGCATGCCCAGATGTAGGAGAGACTGCAGTAGTCTCCTTCCTGCCAGATCTCTGATGAGTGCATTGTATTTAACATGAAAACCTCTATTTGGATCTTTGATTTTCACAGAAGTAGTATGGCAGGAACTCATCTGGATGCTGTTCGTTCTCCTTTTAAACCTGAGTTTAAAGGCTGGATATTGATGGTTATCTCAGCTCTTCGATTACATCTGGTTAGGGTATCCTAAGTGGAGTTATCAGTAGCTATAGTTCATGAATTGTCAATGTTTCCAGCACGTTTAAATTTTCTTGTCATCAAATTTATTTCACCTACCTTGTAACTAATTCAGTATGTTGCCTTGGCTAGGGTGTTTGTCAACCTATGAATAGTATCTCTAAATTCAGGATTTCTACCTAGATTTGCTTCAACAAAAATTAAAATAACTCAGAACTTTTGTAGCATTGCTTAAACATTCTCTTCCTAGAAATCAAACCCATTTTCAGACTAGCTAGGGAAGAGGGAGAAATTGATGAACTTTTTGTGAAATATAGGGTTTTAACTGCTGTGTTTTTAGACTTTAAGAGCCAGATTTGTATGAGGTGGTTCCCTTAATGGAGCTAATATTTCTTATGGTTTTAGTATTTTTTGTTTATAAATTCCTACTAGTTATTGTTTAAAATTGAATTTACTCGTTCTTGCATCCTCTCCGACGTGTAAGCACAATACTTATTACCCAACTAGGAAGCAAAACATTTGAGTAAAGATGCAGCTGAAATACTGAAAATGCAAATAAGTGAAATAAAAGTTGTTAAAGTTTGTTTTTCCCCAAAGACCTTAAGTCAGCTGGCTCTTCTTCCAGTTTTTAAAACTATTCCTTAGCATACAGAAAATATTACCAATTGATTTCATGAAGGTAGTATAGCGTGATCTTTAAATCATAGCTTATTTTGTAATTTGTCATTGGGCAGTATCTCATTGTTTCACAACTCGACCAAAAATATTTAATACTATTTTATGCATATCTTGTAGATGAGATAAGCAAGATTTCAAGAAGTTGAGGGATGTTTTAAGACTGTCAGTATGTCAACTCAGAAATTCTTGGTTTCAGACAGAATTCTTTATTATTACACAACCTTGTATTCCAATTTAACATAATAGATCCATTCCTTCATTCTTAAACTTCTCTTCTTTTCCTGATTCCTATGTCACCAGACTATTCTGGTTTTCTTTCTTTCCATCTTTCTTTCTTCCTTCTTTCTTTCTTTCTTTCTTTCTTTCTTTCTTTCTTTCTTTCTTTCTTTCTTTCTTTCTCTCTCTCTCTCTCTCTCTTTCTTTCTTTCTTTCTTTCTTTCTTTCTTTCTTTCTTTCTTTCTTTCTTTCTGTCTCTCTCTTCCTTCCTGCCTTTCTTCTTTTTTCTTTTCTTTTTTTGAGATGGGATCTTGCTCTGTCACCCAGGCACAATCTCATTGGCGCCATCTTGGCTCACTGCAACCTCTGCCTCTGGGTTTAAGCAATTCTCCTGCCTCAGCCACCCCAGTAGCTGGAATTACAGGTGGCTGCCACTACATCTGGCTAATTTTTGTATTTTTAGTAGAGATGAGGTTTCACCATATTGGCCAGGCTGGTCTCGAACTTGTGACCCAAGTGATCCACCCCCCTCAGCCTTCCAAGGTGCTGGGATTACAGGCATGAGCCACTGCACCCAGCCTCTTCTGGTTTTCTTTTTTCATTCTTTGTCTCTTTCTTGTTACTTCCCTCACAGATTCCTCTTTTTTCTTTTTCTGTCCCTTTAATGTTAATGCTCTCCAGGATTTTGCCTTTAATCTTTATTTATTCTCACTGTGTAAACTCTTCTGGGCCATCTCATCTAAGCCATTATCTTTTAGTTTAAAGAATATTTTTAATTGACAAGTATTATATATATTTATTATATGCAATGTGTTGTTTTGAAATATGCATGTATTGTGGAATGGCTAAATCAAGCTACTTAATATATATGTACTTCATATTTTGTTAACAGTGTCAGGATAAAACTGCTAGATATTAATAAAAAATAATAAACCCTATTTTCCTGATATATAATCTTCCCCTTATGCTCCACCTGAATGTTTCACCAGAAACATACCATACATAAAAGAGATGAAACAAAGAGAAGAAAATGTCAAATTCTTGTTTTGAATGCTGAAACAACCTCCTGAAACTCATGTCAGGGACAATAGTCTGAAAAATCTAGGCTATTGATTAGCACAAGCCAGATATTTTACAACTTCAAAAACAAGACCTAAAGGCAACTTAGCATAGAGACTATGACTTAAGCAATATTGCATAAGACAATTGATAAACGACCTGTGGATTCCCTGAATGGAAAATAAAGTTTCATTTGATGGGGGTGAGAGGGAATTTCAGAGAGGAGGGAGAGACCTTCAGCATGGGTGAGTTCTTAAGAAGGAATTAGGGAGACTGCTTTCTGACTGAATCTTGGGGTATGGCCTGAAGAACAGAAAGTCTGGACAGGAATGAGGGCTTTACAGGGGCAGAAGAGACCTGTTTCTTGCTCCCAGGTCAAGACTAGGTTTTAGTGTCTAGATGACAGTGATTCATAGAAATGTTCTCCATGTCAGCATAATCTATAGAGCAAAAACAAGCAAGACAGGTACAGGTAGACTCTTCCTTCTCTCACTCTCTGGTCTCCTGATATTTCAGAGAAGTGTGGAAAAGGATGTCAATGCTCCCCATGTCATAACATGCATGCCAGAAGACCTAAATAATCTGAGTTTTGTGGATACAGACATAATATGAAGATATGCAAGATTTCTCAAAGTTGAAGACACCTTGGCAAAAAGCACCATGAATAGAAGCGTATGGCCAAAGGCCAGGTGTGAGAAACGGTATCACAGCAGGTGCCAATAGAGGAAAGAGTGAAGCTGCCATTTGGCTGACCAGGTAAATTGTTTACACTGATACCAAACAAGCTCTCCAATAAAGAAGATGTCTCATCATGGAGAAAGGGAGAAAACAATGCTAAATTATATGAGATTCCTTCTAAAAGGCCTAACCGCCTGCAGGTTGGTTAGGTGGCTCTGCTGATCTTGACTTGCTGGCTTATATGTCTGGGTGTTGGCTAGCTGTTGACTGATCTAGTATGTACTCAGCCGGAGTGAAGTGGGTGTCCCAGCCTGTTCCATAGCTCTCATTCTCCAGGAGACTAGCTCAGGCATATTCTCATAACACTGATGTAAGAGCAAGAGAGGAACCAGAAGCTCATATGCTGATTTGTGATCCTCTGCAAGCGTCACATTTGCTAACATCCTTTTTGACCAAAACATCTCATGGCTAGACTCAGTATTAAGATGTGGAAAAAATAGACTCCAGCACTTCAGGGAAAATAATGGAACAGTCACATGACACATAGGCAAGTGGTAGTAAGGAGGCTACAGAAAGTGAGGGGAGATTGGAACTCTTAAAGCACTCAATCTACTAAGGGAAGGAAAGGGAAAAGGGCTGGGAGGATTTGAAAGGCCGACCCAAAGTGGTAGTACATAGGTATTTAATTAAGAAATAAGCAGTAATAAAGAACAGTGAAAATGTTCAGATGTAGAGATCAAAGTATTTTAAATTTCCATCTCCCATTAGAAATCTAGACCTAGAGGAAATCCTCAGAACCATTTTGTTCACTCCTAATTAAATATCCATTAAGAGAAAATTCATATCCTCTGTCTGCTTCAGACTGTTTAGTGTTTGAGTGGTCATTGTCCATTTTTCCCTAACATGAAAGTATCATTATTTATTTCCTTTAAGCACTTTCTTTTCTCTGCTAAGCTGGAGCTATAATCCCACATTGAATTTAAAAACCACTTCCTTTTTTGATCAGCTGCATCAATTTTTTAACCAGTCTATCCCCAGACATTTCTGTCTGCAAAACTTTGATCGTTTATGTAGGCTTACCTAATATATCAGTTTCCCCCTGAATATGTTTTAGATATAAGAAGAAAAATGAAGCTGAGTGTACTAATAAGAACCTGTTCACTGTGGCAAAAAGTTGAAAGATTGCATTCATTCTTGCCAGACATGCTCTTCACATAACCTAGGATCAAATGAACAAACTAGCAGTCTCATTACCAGGGTGTTTATAAAACTTGAGATCCACTCTGGCTCTTGGATCTTTCTCTGCTGTCTTTATGCAAAAGAAGGCACTCCTCATCTTGACTGATATAATATTCCCCCAAATTAGGGATCACCTTTCATTAATTAAGAGTGAAACATTGACTTAACTTTGTATATTCAGATTCCAGTTTACTTACAGGCATCCGTGAACTTCACGCTGAATTACCAATCCTATAACCCAAATCCTAAAGAAAAATGAAGGCTGATGTTATTTTTACTGGAGGAATCGCTTTCTGTAGAACAATTACTTAATTTTGTGAGCACCCCTTTTCTCATTTTTCTGGAGTAAAGTACCTTTGCCATACTTTTTTTGTGTGTGTGTGAGGCAGGGTCTTGCTTTGTCACCCATGCTGGAGTGCAGTGGTGTGATCATGATCACAGCCTCAATCTCCCAGGCTCAAGCAATCCTCTTGCCTCAGGCTCCCAAGTAGCTGGGACCATAAGGTACATGCCACTACACCAAGCTATTACTTTATTTTTTTAGCAACAGGGCCTCGCTTTGTTGCCCAGGCTGGTCTTGAATTCCTGGCCTCAAGCAATTTTCCTGCCTCAGCCTCCCAAAATGCTGGGATTATAGGCATGTGCTGCCATGCTTGGCTTACTTTCTTCTTTCTTCAAGTCAAGACCAGTCTGGGCAATAAAGCAAGGCTCTGTTTCTACAAAAAATAAAATTAGCCAGGTGTGGTGGCATGTGCTTGTGATCCCAGCTACTTAGGAGGCTGAGGCAAGAGGATCCCTTGCTCCTGGGAGGTAGAGGCTGTAGTGAGCTATGATCACACCACTGAACTCCAATTTAGAAATGAGTGTCCTAAAGAAAAAAAATAAAAATCTTTTGCCTAAGGCAGAAAATAGACAATTAAAAGGATAATTGCAATTTCATAGAAAACATCCTGTAGTGGAGATTTATCTGGATTTTTAACCAATGGTTTTAGTTATTAGAAAGAGTTAGAGAACCTGTCCTACTTAGTGTCAGGGTGGAAGCAGACACAGTGAAGAGGGAATGATTTCTGAATTGTGTTTTTTAAAGAATAAATCAGGTATAGATAGCATAGTGAAGAAAACCCTTATGCAGTGGCATAAGGGTTAAAGAGATCATTCTTGTTTTTATTGTTAATGTGGTTGGCTACATCGTGAGAATTGTGTGTTTTTTGTTTTTTTTTTTTTAGATGGAGTCTCACTCTGTCACCCAGGCTGGAGTTCAATGGTGCAATCTCTGCTCACTGCATCCTCTGCCTCCCGGATTCAAGCAATTCTCCTGCCTCAGCCTCCTAAGTAGCTGAGATTACAGGCACCTGCCACCACACCCAGCTAATTTTTGTATTTTTAGTAGAGATGGGTTTCACCATGTTGTCCAGACTGCTCTTGGACTCCTGACCTCAGGTGATCCACCTGCCTTGACCTCCCAAAGTGCTGGGATTACAGGCATGAGCCACTGTGCCCAGCCCACTGATAGAGTTTTGAATATTGGACCTCATTGCATTTCTGGAACAAATACCATTTGGCTGTGGTTCATTATTCCTTTACTATCATTGTTCACTTATATGTTGATGGGTTTGGATTTTCTAATATTTTGTTGGGTTTTTTTTTTCTATCTTCATAAGAGATATTGGTATGTAGGTTTCTTTTCTTAAATTGTCTTTGTCTGCTTTTGGTGTTGCAGTAATGCTGGCTAATACTGAGAAGTGTTTTTCCTCTTCTGTTTCCTGGAATAGAATTGGTGTCATTTTTTCCAAAATGTTTGTAGGATTTGCCAGTGACACTATTGGACCTGGAGACTTACTTGTGGGGATTTTAAACAATAGATTACAATTCCTTAACAGTTTAGGGCTTAATAGGCTATCTATTTCAGTTTGAATGAGTTTTGAACATTAGTGATTTTGAGGAATTGGTCCATTTCATCTGAGTTTCAAATGTACGTATACAGAGTTGTTTGCAGTAGTTCTTCATCTTTTTAAAGCCTGTGGGTATTTGTAATGTATTTTCTCTTTTATTCTTGGTATTGGTAATTTATATCTTCCCCCTCTGTTTCTGTCATTTTTCTTAGAAATTTAGCCATCTTATTTTTTTTTTCAAACAGACAACTCTTTGGTTTGATTTTTTTTTTCTGTTTTTGGATTGTTTGTTAGTTTTCAATTTTACTAATTTTGTTATTTTCTTTATTATTTCCTCCTTTCTTTGAGTTTACTTTGCTCTTGTATGGCTAAGCAGTAGGAAGATTAGAAGGGAAAAATGATAAATTCATCTCTAGTTTGGTGGCATTTTAAATTCTAGTATTCTTTTCTAATCTGCCTGCTACTAATTATCCTTCAAAGTTCTCAATTCCATGTATGCTCCTCAGAGTTCTTGGCTGTGTTCAATGAGAGATACAAGTAGACTTTTATTTGCTACTCAAACACCATAAGTGGTGTTTCTGTTCATGATGTGATTTTTCTAAACACTGAACAGACTAAGCCAAGTCACAGAGTACCTGAATTCACATGATAGGAACATTCCAATAAAAGATAGTATATATTAAAACTATTTGCATTGTATATTTAACAGTTCAGTTCTAGACTCAGATAACTCCAAATAGGACTTTTGTCTGTTTAAATATTTTACAAGATAATAAAAAATTATGAGAAAGTAGAACAATTTTTATTATGTATTATTTTCTTATGAAATTATTGTGAAAACTGACAGTACCCCACTAGATTCCAAAAAATGCCCCCTGTAGGGTAGAACTGGCCCATTGAAAAGCCCTGCTCTATATCACTGCTGTCTAGAACTGTCTACAATGATGATGTTCTGTTTCTGTACCATCCAATAATATAGTAGCCACTAGCCACATTTTGCTGTTGATTATTTGAGATCTGCCTAGCATGTCTGAAGGACTAAATTTTTAATTTAATTTTAATTAATTTAAGTTTAAATGGCCTTATTTGGTTGGTGGCTTTTGTAACTGAAAGCATATTTAGAGATATGAGGTGACATGTTTGAATAGCATAGAAGGCAGACAGAGGGAATAGCTATAGTAGATATAGGCAGAACATGGATTTTGGATACAAAAAGTACTAACCTGAGATCCTAGCATTGTCAATTCCAAGCTAATAAAGGTAAAGATAAATTGTGGAAATGCTAAACTATCTTACAAATCTGAGCCATGACAGAAGGCCTTCTCAATTCTGTATTTTTGTAAATGTATCATTGACCTTAAACAGAGTACTGTAACTTTGTCTTTATTAGTTAATGTCTTACTTAGCTGAGCACATCATTCATATCTGTTAATATGATTTTGAATCTTGAATGTGTCCTCCAAAGGATTAGCTATTCTTCTAGTTTTGTGTCAGGCATAAACTTAATACTTTCATTACTTAATGCTTTTATTCAAGAAGGTTATAAATTTGTTGAATTTGAAACAGACAGGAATATATTGTTTTGCAATAGCATCAGAAGCCTTCTTTCTTGAGGGCCCTGTTCCCTTGGACAATCCCAAATCTTCCATTTTTCATCTTGACCTCAAGGATGTCAAGGAATTTATCACCGAATACTTTGTTGAAATAAAAATACACTAGCTCTAGACATAGACTGCTACTTCTGTTAAAAAAGAGAAATGAGATATATTTGGTAGGATTCGTTCCAAAGAGGTAAATATTATCCCAATTTTATAAATGAGAAAACTGAGACACAACAAGATTATTTTGTCTGCTTAAGGTAAAATAGCTAGGAAATAGTGGAACAGGATATAAAAATCACGAATACTTGACTCCAAAACCTGTGATATTTCTGTGATAGGCAGCCTTTAACATGGCCCCCAATGATCCAATTAATGGTGCCAATTAATGAATGATACCTCCTGGTATTCACAGTCTTGTGGGATCCCCTGTCCCTGAGTGACTTGCCTTAAAATAATAGAATATCATAACATAATCAATTTAGATGCAGACATGCAAAGATGCATAGTCTAATTTGACACTTGAAAAAAAAACTGAGGTTCACAGGATTGTCAGAATTTACTCTTGTAATTAATTATACCCAGTAGCTGAATTGGAATCAAATCTAGATTTTTACTTTTAGATTTTGCATTATAAAATAAAATGTAAAAAAGCCACCCAAACAAATAAATTAACAAATTGTTAGAAGGTGAATAGCCTTGCATTCCTCACCTCGGTAAAAAGATAGAACATTGCCCTTCACCTCAGAAGTCTTCTCCATGTGTCCCATCCTCAAATACTCATTTCTCTGCTAACTTTTGATTTTTTAGAGATGGTCTCACTCTGTCTCCCAGGCTGGAGTGCAGTGGCACAATCTTGGCTCACTGCAACCTCTGCCTCCCAGGTTCAAGTTATTCTCCTGCCTCAGCCTCCAAAGTAGGTGGGACTACAGGCATGTGCTACCAAGCCCAGCTAATTTTTTGTATTTTTAGTAGAATCGGGGTTTCAGCATGTTGGCCAGGCTGGTCTCGAACTCCTGACCTCAAGTGATCCGTCCACCTCGGCCTCCCAAAATGTTGGGATTATAGGCGTGAGCCACTGCGCCTGGCCTGCTCTGCTAACTTTTATATTAACCACTTCCTTGCATTTCTTTATGGTTTTAGCACTCAAACAGTGCATCCCTAGACAGTATACTTTAGTATTGCCTCTAAAAAATTTGTATCTTTTCTTGTACCTCCTTGATATCCTGTAGGTATATTCTATTAGAAGCCTTGCTGAATTTGGACAACAATCATTAAAAGTTCTATAATTGTCCTAAAAGTTGTCAAAATTTCAACTTCTAGTATTTAATCTCAAATAACTAATCATGAATATTTTTAAAACATTTAGTCTAAATTGTACTTTCTATTTCTTAATAGTAAAAATTTGGAAATGGCTTAAAAGTTAAACAGAAAAATTGTAAAAATATTTATGATACACATAGTGTAATGTTGTGTAGCTATAAAAAATTTTTTGTAAAAAAAGTGTTACTTAGATGTGTTCTTATATATTCATGTACATATTAACTTATTCATGTACATATTATAACTTAACTTATTCATGTACATATTATATTTAAATTATGTGTGATGTATTTTTATTATGGCATTTCATTTACATATGATTTACGTATACTAAACTGACATATTATATATTTTTTTGCTTTACTTGTAAGTATAAGAGCATGTTACAAATAGCATATGTAGTGTGTTACTATTTTTGCTAAAAATTATATATATATAAAGATGGGAAGAAAATATAAGAAAATAATAATGTTTACTTGCATAAAATTCATTTCTTTAACTTTCTCTGTTCTGTGCTCATCTATTATTTTGCTAAATTTTTAAAGAGCTTATACTACTTCTGTAATTAGAAAAACATAGATTTATTAAAAAGTAATATATATGAAAAGAGAGACAATGAGCCTTGGTTTATATCTTGATGCTACTGCTCTAGCTTTTCACTCTGTCACTGACATGAACCCCCAGCATTCTTTTTGAACAGAAAACAGCAAATACTTAGTTAAAACTAAAAATCAAGACTTTTATCCATGTAAGTAAAGTATAGCTTAATTTTAAACTTCCTGTATGCTGTGTGGGGAGAACAACTGTATACAACCCCCTATATTGAGCAAAGACACATGTGCATGCCCCTAACTACATACAGCTCTTTCTGCATCTGCTTCCTAATAGAATGCCCTAGCAACATCAATGACAAGTTATGCTTGAGGGCTTTCTCAATCATTTCAGAAATGTCTTCGGGATGGAGTAGACCCTGGAGGAGAATTTCTTCCCATCAGACACTATTTTTTTTGTTGTTGTTGTTGAGATGAAGTCTCATTGTGTTGCCAGGCTGGAGTGCAGTGGCGTGATCTCAGGTCACTGCAACCTCCAACCTCCTGGTTCAAGCGATTCTCCTGCCTCAGCCTCCCGAGTAGCTGGAATTACAGGCATGCACCATGATGCCCAGCTAATTTTTGTATTTTTAGTAGAGATGGAGTTTCATCATGTTGGCCAGGATGGTGGTCTAGATCTCCTGACCTCGTGATCTGCCTGCCTTGGCCTCTCAAAGTGCTGGGATTACAGGCATGAGCCACTGCGTCTGGCCCCCATCAGACACTCTTGATGGGGATGCTTCAGGAGATAAATCTGGAGGTCAGTCTTAGGAGTACAATCTGTGATAAGCACTATGGCAAGAAATTGGAGCTTAAGCATTAGTTAAGAGGATCACTAGCAAGAGAAATGCAGGTGAATGTCATTGGCTTGCCAATTGGAAAGGCTAGACCAGCTTTTATTCTGAGTTGGGGGCCAGTTGGTAGGAAGGATGTGGCAAAGGCAAAGTGAGGGCGGGTGCCCCGGGGCTGGAGTAGAGCTACTCTCATGTTTGAGACTGTGTTCCCGAAAACTAAAAACGGCACTGAACTTCTGATAATCAGGCCAAACAAAATCAACTCAATGTGTCTGAAAGACTTTTCTAGGTGCACATTTCTGAATATCTACTTTTGTTTTTCAGCCCCCACCTTCTTTTAACTTATGACTCCTATTTTATATGTGGAAATTGGGCTGTCAATTGATGTGGTTAAAGAGAGAAAAAAAGAGAGAGACAGAAGAGAGGGGGAGAGGGAAAAAAACAGCTTTAGTTATATTAGAAATCTAGGCAGAACTTCATTTTAACTGGTCCCTTCTACTTTTGTAGGCTAGATGTTTCTATAGTAACCCTCATGAAACTGTTCATCATACACAGATCTTATAGTCTATGACAAAATTTCTTTGGCTTTTTTTCTTTTTGGCTGGAGAGAGTAACCTATGAGCAACCTCAACACACAAGAATGAGAAGTTACTTCTGTTTTGATGTTTTTTTCCTAAATGATCTAAGCAAACAGGGCTATGGCAGAGAGCACATCTCACTAAGGCCAACTTGGTAGCAGGCCACCTTGATGCTATCAATTTTGCAATCCCAGCTGGTGTTCCTGTACAGTTTTAAGAGAAGGCTCTGTGCATGGCCCTTATGAACTCCCCACTGCTTGCTGAGGTGGATTAAAAGATGCAAACTCACTGAAATACGCCAAAGAATATAATGGTCTCTACAGAAGATCTGGCTGTGTCATCCAACAAAAGGTTCCAGCTGTGGCAGCCGTGTGGAACAAAGGGAACTCTTGGCTTAATGTGGAGTGCATGCTTCTGACGTTCCAGTTCAGGCAAGAAATAAATAAAGCTATTACAAAGCCCTTGACCAGATGTGTCTGACATAGTCTGAAACGTGTTTGTACAGAAACTTCACTATCAACGTGGCTCCTTCTTATAGCAACAGACATCTGTTCCTGAAGGCTGATGGGGTGCAGTCCATAATCACAGTGAGGATCTGATCTAGCTGGCTTCACTGAGCTGCCTTTTCCCTGGCCACGGTTGTTCTCATTAATCTGCATAGTCTCAGTCATATGTGGGTCAATGATTTATTTAACACAGAATCTAAATGCTTCTGTGTCATGGAATCAACATCTGTCCAATAGTCAAAGACTTGAAAATTTCTATTTGTTTTCCAGGAGCGATGGTATACATTCCCCATAGATAACTTGACTTTGTTATGCCTGGTCACAGTTTACATCTGTCTTTGACTTATATTGTTTTTAAGGTTGGCTATTGATCATTGTTTTCACATGAAACCTTCATTACTCTAATTGGAACCATTTATAAATACATTCCTTGGACAGATGACAAAAGGATCCATGATGGACAACTTCTTATTCAAAACAGCTGCCCAATATGTAAATCAAAAGCTGTTAAAGATTGTATTGAGCTGAGAACAATTATGCAAGGTTCTAGCCTGTTGTGAATTAAAATGACTGCATTAGAGGTTAAAGGATTTGTAAAGGGAATCTTTCTTTTCAAGAATGCCAGTTCAAATTCAGCTCAGGTCACCGACAAGTAATATCATGTGAAAATCATAAAACAAATCTATCCTCTCAGCTTTATTGTTAATAGAATGATAATGCCTTCAAAAGCTCTATTTACTGCAGTCAGTCCTTTGGTTGTCTTATCTGAAAACCCAAAGATTGAAAAGACTTAACAAATTTAAGGAATTACTTAGAACTGTTCTTAAATTTCAGGCTAGAATTCAGAAACTTTCCATAATTTTAAGCACATTATAAGATAGTTCTTTTTAACTTACTCTAGTACTATTTATACGCAGTTTCTTTTTTCCCTTTTCATCTGAAAAAAAGAGATAAAATGAAAGTCAAAACTGAGTTACTCTTTATAGAACTGTGGAAATAATAACTAATATTTATTACTCTTCGCTATTTGTCAATTATTATTCTAAGTGCTGCAACAGGTATTAGATCATGTAATCCTCATAATAATTTAAAGAGGTAAAAACTATTATTACTTTCATCTTAAAAAAAGTTAAGGCCAGCAAAATTAAATACATTTGGGTAAGGTCACAAAACCCATGTTCAAACCCGGAATATCCAACTTAAGATTCTATACTGCTTTACTGTAATTTCTTCACAGAAGGCACATTGAAAGCCTCAGTCAAGTGAATTTACTCAGTCAAGGGAATTAATGTTGGTTACCACTCCAAAATCTCAGATAGATACATAGATGATTGATAGGTAGATGGAAGATATAGATGATAGATAGATAGATAGATAGATGACATTAATATTTATCGAAGGCTTTCATTGCCTCCAGTATCTACATTTTCTCATTTAGTACCTCAATTGTATAGATAAGTTTTATTAGCTCCATTTAAGATGGCTTTTATTAGCCCCATTTATTTTAGCAGGAAGATGTTGGGACACAGCTACTAAGAGAAAGAGCTCAATGTTCAGTTCCTCTCACCTCATTCTAAACTGCATCGCAAGACTGCAGCAAGTGTACTAAGCCTTTGGAAACAACTGGTGTCACTGTGTAACTCTCATTTCATATGTCAGTTACATACTTGGAATCAGTAGCTTGTGTAAGACCCAAAGTCGGTTATTTTGAGACTCAAAACACTTAAATTTAGTTCAGAATGTGTTATCATTACTCTAAAGTTTTATGTTTAGTATGTCTGGTGGATGAGAGGGAGATAAAAGGGAATTTTGTCCAGGGTTCATTTCCAGTAGTAAGCTGAAGTAATGTCCGAATTATATTTATCTTGTGAGAGCCTAGGCTTGCAATAATCATTTCATTTTCGCCCTCTCCCTCACAGCAGAAGGCAATGGGACAATGGGGAAGAACATAAGCATTGAAGTTGATGGAATGAAGAAAATGTTCTGAATTGATTTTTTAAGTGAATACATTTAATTTTATTAACTTGATTATGTAAGGCCACCATTACATTAGTCATACATGTAGCCTATTTATGTGCATAAAAAATTCTCTGATAAATATTTAATGCCAGCTGACAGAGTGCCTCAAGGATTCAAGGAAAGAAAAGAAATATTTCAACTACTTAAAAGAAAATATTCTATCTCTATTATCCTTTCTTGTCTTTCCATTGAACACATTGAACCTCTCTTTCTTTTTCTGTTTTCAGTTCTCTTCCCCACTGATCATAATTCAATAGCCTAATTGAGTCCTGGCCTCTTGGCAACAAGAATTAGTTCTCTCAATTCTCTTTATAAATGATTACATTTCTGTTTTTCTCTCTTCCTAAAGACTGAGTTCTTAAGACTTAACTGTGTCTATTTATTTATTCTATGTTTTGGCAGTGCCTACTGTATGTCAAACACTAAATTTGCTAACAAGGAAGGTCAAAACACCTGCCTTCAAAGAGCTGAGTAGAGGAAGAAGATAGGAAGATGACATAAATAAAACAATGTCAAAATCTATTAAAATTTTGCCATTTTTGTTACTGAAGTGTAGGAGAGAGAAAGACCATCTATATGGGAAGATCAGAAAAGGCATAGGAAAAGAGGTGGTCCTTAAGTTAAATATAAAGGAATTTACTGTACCAAGCATACAAGGAAGGGGAGGGTATTCCAGACAGTCATAGTGAATGAGAAATGTCTTTTAGGGATAGATCTTCTTTTCCAAAAATCATAATTTGACTTCAAATATGCATGTAAGGAGGAGCTACACAACTTTAAATATGCATTTGGAGAGACTGTTTCTGTAGTACTATTACAGTATAAGTATGCTGACTATAAAATACTTACAATCAGCTCTTAATCTTCAGTTTAAGGAGAGATTGAATAGTACTAATGAATTAAGTCTACTTTGTTTATTACTGCATAGATCTCTTTTTTTCTCACCTTCTAAAGTGACTATTAACTGAAGTACTCAGCTTTTCAATTATGTCTGTATTGAGACAATGCTTTAATTACTATCTCAATCTATTTGTTAAATATGTGACAGGTAGCTTCTTATTGTTATACTAGTTTATTTTTGCATCCATTCCTATATTAGAAGCATCTTATCAGGAGAAAACATGCACAATACCTCCTTCTATTCTACACAAGGCCTTGGTTAGCTTATTTTAATCAAACATTTCCATTTAACTTGATACATACAATTTAAGAAAGAAGAAGGAAAGGTAAGCAAATTAGTGTTTATTGAGGACTTACTAGGTACCAGAGAGGCAGGCTAACTAAGCTACATTTAAATGGATGAAGCAGCGTGTAACATGGGATTTGGAGATGTACAAGTTGGTGTCAAGTCTTGTCTAGGAATTCTCTTCACCTCTTGAGGCCTCAGATTTCAAATGTATAAAATGGGGATATGATAGTGTCTGATTTATGAGATTATGGCAAAGATCAAGGGAACCTATGTTACGGTACCTACATAAAGAAGATGTGCCTAAAAGCAAAATGGTGTTAATTCATAAACAGTTGTATCAGTCTACTATTTTCTCAACAATGCTACATAACAAAACAGACAAACTTAGTGGCTTTCCACAATGAACACGAATTTTCTTTTCATTGGCTTTCCACAATGAAAATTGGCTTTCCACAATGAACACGAATTTTTTCAGGCCAGCAGGGAGTCTGCAAATTGCAGGCCGAGTTTGACTCAGAGTTTTGCTCAGAGCTATAGGCTGGGTATAGATCTGCCATGACTATTTCTCATCTTCCTTATCCCGGTCAGTGGCTTCTCATGGCAGAAGACAGAGCGGGAGAGCAAGCCTAAATGTATAGCACAATTCAAGCATCTGTTTAAGTCACATCTACGAACATCCATGGACCAACAGCTGAGCTGAAAGTCAAGCATGGGCATAAGGAAAAAAAAGCATATATTTGCTAAGAAATTATTCAATCTGCCATAATGTTGGCTTATTAATCAGTTTTTAAAATTTGAACGTATAATCAAAGTTATCTATAATAATGAATCACTTGAGTAGCTTTATAAAAAACTATAAAATTAACTATACAATTTGAAAGTAGCCTTAAAAAAGGAGGGCTCAAATAATCTATAACTGATTATGAAATCATACAAAGTTGAACAATTAATGTCAAAAGATACACAAATGATTATATAATGAATAGTATATCCAATAAATAACTCACCATCTAAACCTTTATGTGTCAGGCTACATGAGAAACTTCTTAACTGTGTGTTTTGGAAAATCAGAAAGAGCAGAAAACATGTACTCAGTTTTCTGTGTGGTTATTAGAGGCCAATTGTTTTTCCATTTTTTCATTTAATATTCACAAGTTTATTGAGCCCTTTTGTATCAATTAGCTTTACCCAGGCATTTATTCATTCTCTCAAAGAGAAATTTATAAGGTGCCTACTGTATGCCAAGCTCTGTGTTAGTTATTGGAGAAACAACCGTTGACTTTAAACATCTTTCCAAATTGGAAACTTTTATTTCAGAGTATAAAATATAATTGATTTTTTAAATTCCACAAAGCCATGAAGGGCAAAGAACTTAGTTTGGAAAAGGTTGCCTACGACCTTGAACATGCCGCATGCCTACATACTTACTAAGTTTCCAGGAGTACATCAAATGAGATCAAATGAGCAATCCTAGGTAGACATCAAAGGCTTCAATTGTGTGCTTAAAGAGCAAGCCTTTCTTACATTTTGGGTACACAGACTTTTTAATTGGGTTTTTAATGAGATATTTCACTGGTTGAGAATTATTCCAATTTTTTTGCTGCTAGTGAAAAAAGTTAATCAGCAGATATTTGTTAATTTTGAGGCCTTGTTCTCTTTTTTTGTTTGTTTTAGGTTTTGTTTTTGAGACGGAGTCCTGCTCTGTTGCCCAGGCTGGAGTGCAGTGGCACGATCTCAGCTCACTGTATGTAGCCTCTGCTTCCTGGGTTCAAGCAATTCTCCTGCCCCAGCCTCCCGAGTAGCTGGGACTACAGACATGCACCACCATGCCCAGGTAATTTTTTTTGTATTTTTAGTAGAGATGGGGTTTCACCATGTTGGCCAAGCTGGTCTTGATCTCCTGACCTCATGATCCGCCCGCCTCAGCCTCCCAAAGTGCTGGGATTACAGGCGTGAGCCACTGCGCCCAGCCGAGGCCTTGTTCTCTTCTGAAGCATTTCCACATACCTCACATTGAGTCTAGAGTCACTACACTTAGACATTCTGCAAACTGAGGGGGTTAAGAGTGGAATTCTGTTTCTGCTTTTCAGGATTATGGGCTGTGTGTAAAGACAATAAGGGTGATTCCGCTCCAAGTTATAGCACATTCTAAATTCTAAAGATGTTATGTGAGAGACTCAGTCCAACATGGCAAAGACACATAGAATTAAAGCATTGCTCCACTAAGTTCAAATTTAATGATTTCAATAACCACACTGAGATGCTTTCTACTAGTTTCTTTTTTTCCTTTTAAAGAGTTCGATACAGTTTCAGCTTTCTAGTGACAATTAGTGAAGGCACGGAAGTTGGCATCTTACCTCTAAGCCCTCTGTTGGTTTTTGTCTTAGCATCAACCTCTGAGCTACCTTTCAGAGAGAAAAGAATTGATACAGAGCATCTTTTGGAACTGTGATTAATGGTGTACCTTCATTATCCATCATTTTACCACCTTGAACCCACAACCTGGCTTTAATTGTACCCTATAAGAACACACCTCATGCTACAATTCTGCAAGTTTTACCAAAAAAGGACTATATTTCTGCTCTAATTACCATCACAACAGCTCCCATTATGGTTTGACCCTAGTAATTTAGTTATATTTATGCTGCTACAATGCACCAAATAGATAATAATGAATACTGATGCAGACTAAGGTTGAAGCAAACTATAATTATACAGACCTAATGAAGTTACCAGAAAAGGCAGTATATAAAAAAACATGCTCAGATAAAGAAAACACACACACACACACGCACAGAGAGAGAGAGATTATTTCTCATGCCCCAAGTTCTGCATTATACTTAGAAATTCCTGGATACTTGACATGTGCTGTTCATGTTCCTTTCTTGCTTTCTGGTCTGTGATTTCTGGACTTACAGGTCACATTCCAAGCTTTCATCTTTCATTTCTAAGTGTCTACCTTTATTTTTCAAATAAAGACAAACAGCTGTATTACTTATAGAGTAAATCAAATGGGACACTTATTCGGCAATCCTCTTTCATGTTAAACATGCTAAATTAAAATTTTAAAATCAA
The DNA here is from genome assembly GCF_000001405.40 of Homo sapiens. Classification (NCBI taxonomy): domain Eukaryota; kingdom Metazoa; phylum Chordata; class Mammalia; order Primates; family Hominidae; genus Homo; species Homo sapiens. The sequence goes on from NC_000020.11 coordinate 7,255,196, forward strand.
GGGGTTTGTTCAAGATGTTGGCAATTAAATCTATCAAATGAGCCCATGGCTGGAGCTCCTCAAAATAACAGCTAACAAAGTTACTGCACCTGTAAAATAAAGTCATAGCCAGTTAGCAGCTCAGGACAAAGTTGAACCAGAAATTGGTTTTGTGCAAGTTGATTAACAAGTAGTGTATAGAAGGAAAAAAACAAAGGAAGGGTTTGGCTATCAAGTGTTGACAATAGAGGTCCTCCTCTGGAAAGACTTAGATAAACTTTGGGAATCAGTGAGACAAGGCTAAAGAATCTTGCTCCTCCAAGTATTCAGAGGGACCTGAACACACTGTTTAGCTCATTGACAAACAGAGATAAGACAGAAAAAATGCATTCAACTGCCTCATTATTTCATACGAATTTGTGATAATTATCATGGCACTTTTGCTGATTTTCATTTGTTCCTAAGTAACCATCTGATAGAAATGGGAAAGCCAGAAAATGTGCAGATTCCCTGGAATGGCTATGACTCTGAGAAGGAAGGAGATCCCTTGGGATTCCTGTTTCACCTGGTTCTTATCCACTCTAATCTCTTGTAAACATGAAGAGCAGTCATTCTTATCTTACTCCACATAGGATAACTTCTATAGTTATCAATTTCTAAGAAGGATGACATTGTTAATACAGAGCCAAGTCCTTGTAGTAAAAACCCCCCTAATGGTTTAGGGGTCATGTTAAATTATCTGTGACTATTAAGGTTCAACTGGCTTAAATTCTAAAATGTCCTTCTAAATAGATTTCTCTCATTCTCCTCATTGTTGAATAGCTCTCAACTATTTCATGCCCCAGTAGGCCCACATTCCTATTTGAAGTGCATATCTGGGTAGCAGATTAAGAGAAAAAGGATAGAGGCAAAGTTTAAATTTGCCAAAAAGATTTTTTTTAATTTGACAATTTTTCCCCATGTCTCCTCATCAGTCCATAACTAGAAATAAATCCTGGCCAAACTGCATTTGTATGCTCCCTAATGTCTTTCATATCCATATCACTTGCTCTCTGTTATCTGTATACTTTTTTGATCTATCAACTGTCTTTCTCTACACCAGGTGAGTTAGTTAGCCACAAAAGGATCCAGCTATTCATCTGGCAGTCATCTAAGTATTCAGTATTAAGAGGTGGAGCTGCTGTCTTTTGCTTCACCTACTATACTCTTTTCTATCTCTGTAATTAGATTTCCTGATGAAAGTGAAGTTGCAGTGGGGACAGATGTTCTTAAAATTAAAAAGAAAAAAAAAGGTTGAGGACCAGAGAAAGCACATAAACATGGGGATGGTTTACGTTATTAAAAATGAAGATCATGTGCTTTGGATTTCATACACGTTTCTGATTAAAATAAACTAAAATAAACCTCTGACTCCAACAAAACTTCATTTTCTTGCAGGGATAAGAGAAAAGAAGTGGGCATGAGAGAGACGTGTCCCATTACACTTAGTGAATATTCTCTACAGCTACTTAAAGGAGGATCAGGGATTCTTCAGTAAAATTTTTCTGCTGAACTCTTCAAGTAGTTATAGCAAAGAGAAGTCTTCAACTAGAGAAGGTTGAGAAGTGTCAGTTCTTTCTTTCTTCTAATGCTCTGATCCAAATAGGATGAGTTTATCTTCAATCAGATTCTGATTGCTGTGCCATAAATAAAATAAAATACAATATAATGAAATAAAGTAAAAAAAAATGAAGCAGAATAAAAGTCCTCTTATGATCTTCCTATCACAACATACAGATCTTAAGTATCAATCTTCTTCACCTGTACACATTGGTCCCATCCATCAATTTTATCATGGAGTTGGCTTAAAAATGAGGATACATCTTGTCCTTCACTACACATGATGGATTCCAGATGTTCAGATTAAATAATGGTGCTCCCCTGTAGACATAATGGACCATAGCAGCAATGTAACTAAGCAAAATGAGCAAACCAGGCCCTGCAAATGATCTTAATTATTTCAACTATGAGGGACAGAAAAGCACTGGGTAATACAACAAATAGCCCTTTGAAAGAGCAAAAAAAAAAAAAGGCCTGGTAATTTACATTTAAGTCAAACCTGCTCCCTGCAAAGTATAATGTGTGTAATAATTCAGGAAGAAATCTAGCACTATACCATTTTCATAATTAGTATTCTATGTCAAGTCTCTAGCAGCAAGTAGCATATAAATCACGATGTTAATATTGGTCTGCTTTTCAATTTATTTAATGATATTCTACAGTCAAAGATTTATTGCTAAAAATACGAATGTGCTTTTACATCATTCAAGATGTATCTGTGCTTCCAGCATTTGAAAAGGCAGCTACAAATGTCAGAATTTAGGTAAGTCAGATTTATACAGCACACACACACACACACACACACACACACACGCACACACACACACAGAGAGTGACGTATGGAAACAAGTCTATATCTTTATTTGTACTTTCCATGATTAAGAGAAAGTACAGATTATATTCTACTTGGTATAATATTACTTAAATACAATCTTCCAGGCCTGGGAAAATGAAGTAAAATTGAAGTTCATGTCAAGCTGGCCAAAAGGTGAGTTCTACCCCAGAAATCTTTTGTGGTTGTCTACTAAGCCATAAATTAATCTGTCCGAATCATTGACACTCATCCACAAAGCACAGGTGGTAGTCTCCTTTCATACACACCAAAGAGAGCTAGTTAAAAATAAATTGTGCTGCCATTAAAAACATGCCAAAATAATATTTTTCCCATCTGCTAAGTCCAGCCCCAGTGGTAAGTGAACTAACAGGTTTCTACACTCACACTTGATGAACAGGCACCACAGCAATTAATTAACATTAAAACAACAAGAGTCAATTGGATTTCTCCCTTTTAGACATTTGTTAAAGCCAAAAGCAGAATACATACCCTGTGTAACATTCAGCCTTGTGGGTCTTCAGATGTGGCTGCTCTAAAGCCCATTTTTATCTAAATATTTACAACAAAGTTGGTCTGCTGAACAGCCGTATCAAGGGGGACTCTATGTCCCAGGTTCCACGCTGCCAAAGCCATGACCCACAGACTCCTCACAGCTTGGCTTGCCTCATTCTCCTGATACCCACACTACAAACAAGGACTATCCAAGGGCAAAGTCTATTTTTTGCATTCAACCAGTTAGTTAAAAATAAACTTTACAGTTTCCTTCCCATTAAAAAATATATGCCAGGCAAATATAAATATATTAAGATGTTGCTATGAAGGGCATTAGAAAATCCAAAAAGAGATGAGTCTTGGCTCTGAAAAGCCATTAATAATCTTTAATCTCATCACAAGTGCCTAGGAGAATGTTAAACCTTTATAGAAATTAATTGGTTTATGGTTTAAGAAGTTTGAATAAATAATTTAGAGAATAGGAAATCTAGCAAAGATAATGCTCCAAAAAGGCCAGGAAAATGTTAGTAGTACATCCTTTCCAACTTCCAAGGGAGATATAACTCTACTATTTAAGTTGTTCAAAACTCTGAGAAATAAGTTAACTCCTAAAAGTATTTTTAAAAGCCAGCATAACACTGAGTCTTCATGACTTCTAAAGTGGAAAAATATCAAAATCAGGGCATTAGAGACAGTGGATAAAAACAAATACATTGATTCCTCTCTGTGTTTATAGCTCTTCATTTTGAGTTGCGTCTCAGCAGGTAAATCTATATGCAGAGGGAAGAAAGAGTATACATGCAAATAGCATGCCTATGGGCCATGACAAAAAGAGACCCAAGTTCCTGTTCAATTAAGTTGTTGTGTCCTGAGTTTGCTCTGGTAACCCATCCCAGGGAGGCCAGGAACTGGCAGAAAGAGGTTTCTATGTTTTATCTCCCTTCTCTTGCCATACGTTCCGTTCCCTTCTCCTTTTTCCCTCTCCTTCGTTTCTTCCTTCTGCATTCTTTTTCTTCCTTCTCTAAGCCTTTGCTGGGATGCTACTAAATAAGATTGATCCGATAAGGAGAACAACTCCCACCTATTCCCTTATGCCAAGTCTTTGGAATGGGGTAATTTGTTGAGTGGAGGCTCAACCCAGAGGAGTTGCTTTCAGCAGATCGTCAATTGCCATTGTGAATACAGTCCCATACAATCATATGCATATTTGAGACCCACTCAGATACCAAAATCCATGAATGCTCAAGTCCCTTTTATAAAACGGGGTAACATTTGCCTATAACTTACCCATATCCTCCTATATATTTTAAATTGTCTCTAGATTACTTCTGATAACAAGTACAATGTAAATGCTATGTGATTAGTTATACTGTATTGTTTTCTATTTGTACTATTTTTAATTGTTGTTTTATTTTTATTAATGTTTCTTGCTGAATATTTTTGATCTGCTGTTGATTGAATCTGCAAATGCACAACCAGGGATATGGAGGGCTGACTCTATACCTTAAATCATGTACATCAATCAATCAATCTATCTATCTCCATTTAAATCCAGTATATTTTAATTAATTCCATGAATATCTATGGCAGATTTCCAAAGACAGCTGCAATAACATCTCCAGTGCCACACATTCTTCCAGAGCCTTGCCTTTCCTCCATCAAGAGAGGATGTCTAATTATCCCCTTGAATCTGTGATTTACTGCTAACCAATAGAATACAGCAGAGGTAACACTGAGTGACTTTTAATTCTAGATCATAAAAGGTGTTGCAACTAGGATACTTGCTTTTGGAGACCACATAAGAACCCTGACCTCCCCAAGACTACCAGGTAAAGAGGCCACATATAGTAGGCACTCTTATTAACAGCCCCAGCTGAACCTCAGCCAATTGTCATGACCAACTGTCAGCCAGGTAAGAGAGCCTTCTCAAACATCCTACCTAGTGGAGCTTCCAGATGGCTGCAGTCCCAGGTAACATCTACTGCAACCGTATGTGAGACCCTGAGCTAAAGTTGCCTACTTAAGATAATCCCAAATTCATGATCTACAAAACCATGAGCATGTCTTAAGTCCCCAAGCTTTGGGATAATTTGTTACTCAGCAATGGTAACTGGAACAGCCTTAATATTTCAAGGGATGACTTCTCATTAGAGTTCATTGGCATAAAGCATATACAGCTTGGACAAAATTGTACAGGACAACTTAAATATAATTATATTTTATATGAGTAAAGTTTTAGGTTTTGTATTCAAAGCATCTTCAACAACATCAAAGATACATATGCATGATAGCTATTTTTCCTACTTTCTTTTTTTCTTTCCTTTTTCTTTTTTTAAAGACAAGAACTTCCTCTGTGGCCCAGGCTGGAATGTAGTGGCATGATCTTGGCTCACTGCAGTCTCTAACTCCTGGGCTCAAGCAATCCTTCCACCTTAGCCTCCTGAGTAGCTGGGACTACAGGTGTGAGCCACCACACCCATACATTTCCTATTTTCAATTCAGCTCCACTTGTCTTTTTATGGAGGAAACATTGTTTCTTATCCCCACAATACTCCTTATACAGTGTGATTAATATCTTCTGACCTCCAGTCAAGTCATCCTTCTATCTGAACTGGCCATATTGGTCGCTGAGAAAACACAAGGAAGGAAGGAGATGAAAGTACAAGAAAGGTGAAGAATTTGGGTGTTACTTGAGAATGCCTCAGTTTTCATTTTAAGTAACTACCAAAAATAACTTTGGTAGTTTATATTATCTAACATATTTTTATAACAAATATCTATTTTTTCTAGGTTAATATTTATTTTATGAATAGGAATGTTTCTTTTTTTTTAATTATACTTTAGGTTTTAGGGTACATGTATACAACATGCAGGTTAGTTACATATGTATACCTGTGCCATGTTGGTGTGCTGCACCCATTAACTCCTCATTTAACATTAGGTATATCTCCTAATGCTATCCCTTCCCCCTCCCCCACACCACAACAGGCCCCGGTGTATGATATTCCCCTTCCTGTGTCCATGTGTTCTCATTGTTCAATTCCCACCTATGAGTGAGAACATGTGGTGTTTGGTTTTTTGTCCTTGCGATAGTTTGCTGAGAATGATGGTTTCCAGCTTCATCCATGTCCCTACAAAGGACATGAACTCATCATTTTTATGGCTGCATAGTATTCCATGGTGTATATGTGCCACATTTTCTTAATCCAGTCTATCACTGTTGGACATTTGGGTTGGTTCCAAGTCTTTGCTATTGTGAATAGTGCCGCAATAAACATATGTGTGCATGTGTCTTTATAGCAGCATGAATTATAATCCTTTGGGTATATACCCAGTAATGGGATGGCTGGGTCAAATGGTATTTCTAGTTCTAGATCCCTGAGCAATCGCCACACTGACTTCCACAATGGTTGAACGAGTTTACAGTCCCACCAACAGCGTGAAAGTGTTCCTATTTCTCCACATCCTCTCCAGCACCTGTTGTTTCCTGACTTTTTAATGATTGCCATTCTAACTGGTGTGACATGGTATCTCATTGTGGTTTTGATTTGCATTTCTCTGATGGCCAGTGATGATGACAATTTTTTCATGTGTCTTTTGGCTGCATAAATGTCTTCTTTTGAGAAGTGTCTGTTCATATCCTTTGCCCACTTTTTGATGGGATTGTTTGTTTTTTTCTTGTAAATTTGTTTAAGTTCATCATAGATTCTGGATATTAGCCCTTTGTCAGATGAGTAGATTGCAAAAATTTTCTCCATTCTGTAGGTTACCTGTTCACTCTGATGGTAGTTTCTCTTGCTGTGCAGAAGCTCTTTAGTTTAATTAGATCCCATTTGTCAATTTCGGCTTTTGTTGCCATTGCTTTTGGTGTTTTAGACATGAAGTCCTTGCCCATGCCTATGTCCTGAATGGTATTGCCTAGGTTTTCTTCTAGGGTTTTTATGGTTTTAGGTCTAACACTTAAGTCTTTAATCCATCTTGAATTAATTTTTGTATAAGGTGTAAGGAAGGGATCCAGTTTCAGCTTTCTACATATGACTAGCCAGTTTTCCCAGCACCATTTATTAAATAGGAAATCCTTTCCCCATTTCTTGTTTTTGTCAGGTTTGTCAAAGATCAGATAGTTGTAGATACGTGGCATTATTTCTGAGGGCTCTGTTCTGTATAACAAATATGTATAAGTTCAATAAGTATACTATTGGTTTTCTAAAGTGTACAATTTGCTTTTTTAAAAAATGTTTTATTTAGAATGTTATTCACACATTAATCTAAATCCCATCTTTTTGGCAAATAACTTTGAGTATCTTTAGACAATTTTTGAATACCTGAGTTTCTTTCTCTCTCTGTCTATATATATATATAATATATATATACTTTTATTTATTTATTTATTTATTTATTTAATTTTATTTTTTTTGAGACAGAGTCTCGCTTTGTCACCAGGCTAGAGTGCAGTGGTGCAATCTCGGCTCACTGCAACCTCCGTCTCCCAGATTCAAGCGGTTCTCCTGCCTCAGCCTCCTCCCCAGTAGCTGGGACTACAGGCTCGCCTCACCATGCCCAGGTAATTTTTGTATTTTTAGTAGAGATGAAGTTTCACCATCTTGGCCAGGATGGTCTCGATCTCTTGGCCTCGAGATCCACCCACCTCAGCCTCCCAAAGTACTGGGATTACAGGCATGAGCCACCATGCCCTGCCATATATGGACTTTTTAACTGATTGTCTCAGTATATGGTCTTGAATACAGGAAAATAATTGCATTAACTTTTGAGTTTGTTATTTTATTAGCTATAAGCTGTGAAGTAATCTATGATTCAGCTTGCTTTTACTTCTCTGCCCTTGTAGGGGGATGATCTAGCTGATGACAACCTGGCAGATTTATGTCTAGGGAGAATCAGTCCCACCCTGTGTGGGTGTTGGCTTAAATGGCTCTAGTCCCTCTGGTGCAAAGAGGTCCTGTCACCTCAGCAAGCAAGGAGGACAAGTTGGAGCCAGCTAACATCCGTCAGGAACTCCACGGCCAAAGGCATGATGTGGAGGGAAGAACTGAGTTCACTGTCAACTATACTAAATTGAAGGGAAAAATAATGTAAGTTAGGTCATCAACTTGGTCCCAATCTTAAGGAGAAAATTGCTGGTGGTAAAATAGCACCAGACTCTGTCCTTTAGTTGTGAAGTCACGTTAGCATATCTATGCTAATGTCAGTTACTATAGCAAGGCTGGCATGCATATTGTTCTGATTTGGCATAATAGGTGGGGTAAAAATTGCATTTACCCATTGAAAACTTTGATGGAGACTTCCTAAGGAAAGTGACCAGAGCCAGAGGATCCAGAGTCTAACTCAGACCCTCAGTCATTTTACACTTTTGATTTATTTTTTTTCCAATGGAAACAATTTCCACTTTTTTTCCAATGAAAAATAAGAGATTTTAAAGGACATTCTGAGTCCCAAAAAACATCTTCATTCTTTTGGAATGCTTTTGAACATACAAGGTACTAACTTGCAAATTAAACAGATGATTTTTAGATTGGAGTCTTAACTACCCTTAAGCTAACAAATTCATAGGCGGAAAAGAAGATACTCTTTTGTACAGCTAACGTCTCTTGCAAAACAATGCTTTCTTGAGTTCAGTGCAAATCCATTAGAAACATAAACATTAAACTGCCCCTTAAATACATATGTGTTCATATGGGAGAGGTGTTGATGTATATTTAGCCTTTTATCAAAACCCTTAATATTAGAAAAAGAGGTATATATTTGAGAAAATCAAAATCGATGTTGTAGTCACATTTTCAGACAAATGTGATGTATAGTGTGAACATTGCAATATGTTTGGTATGTATTTCTACAGCTGGATTTGCCTTGAGTTCAGAAAGGAGGTAGCTAATGGACTGATGGTGTTTGACAAGTTATGGTTTAGGGTGTAATAATGTTTAGGCTTGAGAATTCTTATCGACCTTCTGAAATGCTGTACTTTTTAATTTGGAAGAGTTAAACATGTATTTTAATATCAACAAAAACAATGTGTATATATAATATGTCTCTTTATCTAATCTACCTATTAATATCTAGATATCTGATTGAATGGCAAGACATCCTCATGTTAATGAAGGGAAGGCCTAGTGAATTAGCTAAGGTGAGGAGTCCTTCCCCTGCAGGAAAGAGTATATTTGCAAAGACAGGTCAGGTCTGAGTCACAATTTTTGGGTTAGTGGCAAGCTGATGAAGTCAATCCAGCTTCATGTTCTCCTGACTAATGCAAGATTTGGGTCAGAGTCCAGGCCCTGCCTCTATGGAGAGAACAGGCAAGGGCAGGCAAAGTAGTGTGAACAGAGACCTAATTTAAGCTCAAATCCTTTGTCGTTCAACAAAAGAGTGAGGGGATTTTATGTTAGAGTTGGGGTGAAAAATAGAAGCAACCAATTTTCTTGCAGTAAATGCAATCGAAACCATTTCTGAAGTTTCCATGAACTTAGGAGATCTCTTTAATTTGTACAGCAACCTCTGGATTTGCTGCTTTTGGTTAGAAAGGTTGGAAGATTCTGCAAACTTTGTGGTAGGTCACCTAAGCCAGTGCTTTTCAAAGTTCTATGTGCACATAAATGCTTGAGGATTTTGTTGAAGTTTCTGATTCAGTTGGTGTGGATTAGGTCCCATGGATTTTCCTTTCTCCCAGGTGAAACTGATGCTGCTAATCTGGAGATCACCCTACGAGCAGCAAGGACACCAGTAATTCTGTCTGCATATTTTAATCACATTGGGAGGGCTGCCCGATTTCAGCATTATCTGTTGCTCATCTGAAATTTCAGATGAGCAACAAATAATTTTTTAAATATAAGTATGCCCAATGCAAATATTTGGGATATATTTGTAATAAAAAATATTTTTGTCTATCTGAAATTCGAAGACATTGGCGTCTTCCATTTTACCTGGAAGCCCTACGTGAGGAATATGTTAAAATAGCTAAATCTTGAATTACTGCCCGAGATATTCAAATTTAATTAGTCTGGGTTTCAGCCTGAGCATAAGTACTTTACAAAATACCCCCGGAGTTTTAATGAGCAATTGAGAGCCACTGATTAAAACTCAACCCATATTAAACAGGTGAGGAAACTGAAGTCCAAGGTGTCATAGAAGATAGTGGTAAAATGGGGATGAAAATTTAGGATTTTCCGGTACTCTTTGTCCTCTACCCCCTCCATCTTGACTGTTAAACAGTAGAAAACATGTTTCTCCTTTTGAAGCTTAAGGGGTAGCCTCCTTTGAGAACTCTATTTGCTCTTAGGTCTCTGAAGTTGGGGGTCATCTCCCCTAATGTAAGTCACTCCATTAAATTCTGTAGTTCTCACCCTAGAAAGCGTTAGAGATCTGCCTTTTATGAATCTTACTCATGAATGCTTTAAAGTTCATTTATCCTAATTGTTAACTCCATATCTGGGAGCTTTAAAAAACACTAATGTCTGGATGCCACCCTCAGAGATTCTGATACAATTGGTCTGGGGTGCAGCATAAGCACTGGAATTTTTGGAAAGCTTCCCGAGTGATTCTAATGCTCAGGCAGAGAAGAACAGTACTGCTTTCTCAGACTCTTTAAATGCAGTGGACCTGGGGCCTGTAACTCTAAAGTTGTCTGTAAGTGGCGGGTCCAGCTGAGCCCATCGCAGATGTGTGTAAATCAGCAACTTCAAAGGCTGGAAATGCTGAGCTTGACTGCAGGGTAAACCTGGAATGCCTCATATGTTATTCTTTCAAGACTTGTCAAAGCATTTGAATCAGTTCTAATTAAAAAACACATAGTTTCCTTAGATTCCAGAGTCTTAAAATACCTATATGAGCCGTGTATGTATTTCCACTGGTTCTAGGATATCCTGTTTCTCTGATGGAATGAAGAATAAATAGTTATTTTACAAAAATAAAAAATAAAAAAAGAGAGGTAGGAGATGGGGAGGTGGGGAAAAAGCGAGCATTTGCTTATTCTGAGCTTTCTAACTAGCAGTTTCAAGGTGCTAGGAAACCCACCCTAACCCTCACTCTTTCCAAGTGATCTTGTACCTTTTCCCATTCATTTGAAGAAAGTAGAGCAGGTTCCTGCTTTAGAAACAACTGCGTATCAGGCCTTTTGTGAAGAAGAAAGATTTCTTAGCAAAAGTATTTTGGCAGGAACTACGACAACTAGTGAGACCATCTATTTTCTTCCTGCTTTCTCCTTCAAGAATTGAAATGCAATCAGAGTATCCATGAATGAATCACACTATTTAAGATAGGGATATGGGGGACTTCTGAAGTCTCAAAATTGCAGATTGGTAAAAGTGGTAATTGGAGTGCTTATTAATTAGCCTGACCACATTATATGAAACTACCCTATTATATTTCTATAAGCTTGGTGAATTTATTTAGGTTTAAATAACTGGATCACACAATCACAGGTACACCAACTTGTCCAATTCATATTTTCCAATTCCCAATCCAATTGTTCTTCACAATTAAGACAGATAGACGCTGATTGTTTTGTTGTATGCTTCTGGTTTTATTATGTAAATAAAATAGACTTTGGTTTACCCCCTTCCAAGTCAACTGAAAGAAGACTCATCTACACAGATGGAAAGACTTACTGACTTTGTACAAAGCAAGACCAATCCCCCCATCCAGTTCAACCAACCTGCAAGTACTTAGACTCACCCTGTAAATATGGAAAGCACAATGATTCCACAGTAGTTTATCCAAGAGTATTGTAATTTTCAACACATTTCAATATGGCACATTATTAATCTAGAAGGAAAAGTGAAAAGGAAAGATGACCATCTTTATTGGATGGGATATTTCTTTATAAATTACCATTTGTCAGAAAGCTTTATTGAGATAAAGCTTAATTTGTGGTTTGATCCCTTTTTATTTTCCTTTCATCTCTTCTAATCCTCAAACATTTATTTGCCTCAGGGAAGCTCTATATGACAGGTTTAAAAGTGAACATTATTTTTAGACTACCTGGCTTTCAAAGCTCTGTTTTCCAGAAGCCTTGAAATCAGGGAAGGAGAGAAGGAGACACTCCCAGAAGGTGTTCTGGATATAAGGTGACTAGTAAAGAAGCTAAGACCAAAGAAAATTTTGCTTTCTCTTGTACTCAAGAGGGCAGAATCCAAGCATGGGCTGTTTCTCCAAGAATTTGAAAAACCCTGAGTTTGGGGCAGAACAGCACTCAGAGTTTGAAGATGCCAGTTATCAAGAGATTTTCAGGCTTGAGCAAGGAACAGTGTTGCAATATTTTGCAAAGAAAAATACATGACAACCAATTAAATTTGAATTTCAGGTAAATGTTGAATTACTTTTTAGCATAAGTATGTCCCATGCATTATTTGTGACTAAATGTTCATTTATATTTAAAGCATTATTTATACTAAAAATTATTCATTATTTTTATGAAATTCACAATTAGCAGGTATCTTAGTCTGTGCTAGTATAACAAAATATCACAGACTGGGTAATTTACAAACAATAGGAATTTATTGCTCATAATTCTAGAGTCCGGGAAGTGCAAGATCAAGCAACAGTTGTGTTGGTGTCTTAAGGGCTTGTTCTCGGCTTCCAGATGGTGCTTTATTGCTGCATCCTCTGGAGAAGAATGCTGTGTCCTCACATGGCTGAAGGGGTAGAAGAGCAAGAGAGTATTTCCTTCTATACCTCAGGCACCTTTAGAAGGGTACTAATCCCATTCATGAGGATGGAGCCCTCATGGCTTAATCACTAGCCAAAGGCAACACCTCTCAAAGTGGTTGCAATGTGGATTAAGTTTCAATACAAAAAATACAAATTTTGGAGCACGCACCATCATTTAAACCACAGCAGCAGGTGCCTTTTATTTTATTTGGAAACTATAAGAAGGTGGACTTCATTATTGATTATAATGGACTGATAGAGACATGTCCTAGCTTTCATATTTCAGATAGCAAATAAGACTTTGGGAATATTGGGCAAAATTAGGCTAGAGGAATGGCCCTATTCTATAATGGCTAAGACGTATTTTCCACTAACTGGACAAAAGGAAAACTCAAAAACTATTTAATTGATTTAAAAAAATAAACAAATTTGCTATTTCTTGTATATCAAATCTTTGAAGATTAATACTCACTATAATCTGAATCCCTGTCTGTTGGAGACATGTTTCCCAAGATATCTTGGGTAAGGCATATGGTCACTTTATTGTAGGTGGATAAAAACATGGGAGAAGAGAATCCTCAAGATTTGCTGTTTTTCCCTCAACAAGATAAGAGGTCATTTATCATACTATAAAAAGAGAGTGGGAGACTCCTGGAACCATGTTTCTGAAATACGTAAAGCTTGCTGTCACCAGAACCCTGGAGGTTTTTTTATTATCTTGTATATTTTATTATTTTTATTTTTAATTATTATTGATATATAATAGTATCTTTTTATGGGATCATGTGAAATATTAATAAAAGCATACAGTGTGTAATGATCAAATCAGAGTAATTGGTATACCCATTACCTTGAGTATATATTATTTGTGTTAAGAACATTTCAATTCCACACTTCTAGTTATTTTGAAAGATACAATAAGTTAACTATAGTCACCCTATTGTGCTACTGAATACTAGATATTATTTCTTCTATCTAATTCTGTTTTTGTACCCATTTACCAAACCATCTTTATTCAATCCCCACTTCCTATTACCCTTCCCAGCCTTGGTATCCATCATTCCATTATCTACCTCCATGAGATTATTCTTTTAGCTTGCATGTATGAGTGAAAACATGCAATATTTGTCTTTCTGTGTCTGGCTTATTTCACTTAATACCCTCCAGTTCCATCCACATTGTTGCAAATGACAGGATCTGATTCTTTTATATGCCTGAATAGTATTCTATTGTATGTATGTACTACATTTTCTTTATCCATTTATCCAGTGATGGAACTTAGGTTGATTCCATATCTTGGAACCATAAATTGGTTTTGATGGAAACCCATGTCTCTGGTCAATGAAAAAAAAATGTAGGTTTTTCTCTGTAAGCTGAATTATGTCACATGGTATACAGCAAATGCATTAAAATTAGGATGGCCATCTTTTCAGGAAAACCTAAACACTAAGTTCCTCTACATGACTTATCTTTCCACATATGTCTTCCTTTATAGTGAAAATAACCTGATACGAGATGGTCATGGATGTGGCCCACTGAACTCACCATGCCTCACATTCCCACCTGTGAACAGCAAGGGAGGAATAATATTATAGATAAGACACTTGTTTTTGGAATGGAGCACAGCTGCTGTGTAATGGCCCAGAGGAACCCCAGCCTGAGACCAGAAGTGAAGGAGAATCCCTGCCTCACTCAATCTGAAAGGGAAATCAAAGCAAGCAGATTCTAGTGTCCCAAGCATCAGGACAAGCCAGTCAGGAGGACTAACATCCCTTCTCTCAATGACATTATGCCAAGAGTTTTTGTTTTGTTTTGTTATTTTTTAAAATGAGCAACAGCCTTCAGATCCCGAGTTTAAAGGCCTGATGCAGGCCTGAGTCATTGGCACTGCTCTGTAACTCCTCTCTGTTGCAGGTGTGCTGCCGGGCTCCTCTGGGTCCAGCCCAAACGCCCTCCCCTTCCTCCTCACTCCCCTCTCTCCACCTGACAATTGTAAAATTTAAGGAGCAGATCCTCTCAGGGTGGTATAGCTTCAGGCACATGAATTCTTTCCGGGGCTCTTTGAGCTTGGAAGCAGTTTAAAGGTAAGAAGGTTTGAAGAGTGAATGAGTTCCCAAGAATAAACATGTTTCAAAGGAACCTGAATGAGGGACTCTGTTTATGCGGGTTTTATATGACGTTTGCTTACTTAATGTAGTAACTCCTTGAACATATTGCCTTGTATGATATAATTTATTTACATAATTCTGGATTGGAAAGTCATGAGCAAACCCAAGGAAAATTTCTAGAAAAAAGAAAACTTGTTTTTATAAGGATTTTAAAATTAAATATATGTATGTGTATACTTATGTATATCTACGTGGATGTATGTAAATCCACAGATACAGAGATTATATACATGTATAGCTAATAGACTTAGATTAGATATAAATATTTGAAAAAGATGGCAAAATAAATGTAGATCATAAGCCAGTTTCCAGCCTGTTTTAATTTATGCCAAATTATTTCCTACAGGATATAAAAGAATATGGTGCTTTTAAATTATTCCAATCCAAGTTTTGCTTTTTTAAAGCATTTCAGTTTTTGCCACATTGATCTATTACAAAACTAGGGAAGTCCTTTAAAGCACTGAACTGTTCAAAACTCTCATGACAGAATCATGATAAACGATTTTTAAAAAAGCAGTTTACTTTTAGTGGTAAAGATATCTTTTTTATTCTGAAAAGAGGATAAAAAATTTCTCCTACAGTGAAGATAGGTAAAGGAAAGGAAAAAGAGTCTTTCTAGAAGTGTAAGTGTGCTCATTTTCTACAAAAATAAAAAACAAACAAAAAAATAAATTAATGTCCCGTAAAGGAGATTATTAGCTGCTTTATTTTATTTATTTGTTTTTTCTCTATCTTTATCTACAGTTAAGTTTTTCTTTTTCTTCTGGTCTATATCTTAGACTTCAGAAATTTAGGTAGTAGAACTGGAGATAAAGGAAATACAGAGAAGATTGGTATATACGTCAGATAAGCTTTTCAATTACAAATTAACCTGAACCATACAGGTACCTAAAACACCATGGCCACAGCACAGCAAGACTGATGATTTTAGTTGTCTAGGAAAAGCACTGTATCAGTCATTTTGCTGAGGTAACTTATATTGTTCAAGAGAAAGCCAGACGGTTCAGGATAGATTGTCGCTATCTGGGTTCATTCTATTTTTAAAAATCCCTTTTTTATTACTCACTATTTCATAACCAATAAACATACTACTAGATAACAGGAAGGTAAAGATAATCGCCGTTTGAAAGGGATTCTGTTTTGGATGTTGAAATTCTTTCTTGTTGAGAAAGAGAGGAGATGCTGAGAAACTGGTGGTGGAGATGCTGTAGGTGCTTTGGTCCATATTCCATAGGGATCAGTAAGGAACATGGAAAACACAATCCAAGAAAGGAAGTGACTTTCACATTTATTCATGGGGCATGTTAGAGAAACTTAGGTCAGAAAAAGGTCATGTTTGTTTTCTCCATAGGTGAATTTGGCCTCCTTATAATCCTCACATTTCAAATCTAAATGATTTAAGCTACACCCAGATCCCAGGCCAATTCTTTAACCATTTGAGGGATTTTTCCATTCACTGGACATAGAAAAGAAGCTTTGATGGGAAACCTAGAAATTACCTGCTCCAAACTTGAAGTTAATAAAACATCTTATGGTGACTTTGTTCTTTGTTAAATGTTGAGGAGACAGCATTACCAAGCCACTTTAGAAGCCTTTAAAGTTACTAAAGGTTATCTACTGGGCGTCTCCGTCTAGGTGTGGATCATCCATTGGTAGCCCTTTGGTTCAACAACTTTTCAAAGTTTCATCTTCCATGGCAGAATTCTTATCTAGTTTCTATCTGCAATCAATATCTCATAAAGAACTAATTGGTAACATTTATGGTACTGACACTAAGAAGAATGGCAAAAATGTAGTAAAAGCAGTTTCATTTTATGAATGTTCTTTATTATACAAGTCCAGCCTTTTAGCAGTTTAATAAAATCATAATTGTATTTACTAGAAATTCTCTAGTGGTTATCATTTCGGGGTTGGGGTGGAGGAAGCAGTTAGAGAGAAAAGAACTAGACATCTCAGATGAGGCTATGGGCTTCTTTCTAAATGCATTAAAGAGTGGATTCAAGTTATTGCTTATAAATACTCAAATTTATGGCTATTCTAGAGTGGCCCAGCATGAATAGCACACACTCTCTGCTATTCATGAGTATCAAGAGTATCAAGGGGAAAATTCAAAGAGAGTTGAGAAATGCTGAGAAAATGAAACACCAGAGCTTCTCAGGGTTAAGAGTATTGTGGAAAAAGATAAGCTAGAGTTTTTTTCATAAGTCCTTTGGTCAGCAATAAAAGGTATATCCTCAATCCTATAAGGGAGATTTAAATTACATTTGACTAGCATTCTGTGTTTCTATAAATGAGACCCTAAGAAGCGGCTGAGCCATTTGGCATGCCCTCATTTATTTGGGTTACATGGCCATGTTTTATAAGGCCACATGAAATGTGAGTTCTATAAAAATAAGAATTATATCATTCTTTTCTGAATCTTCATCTCTTTTGGTTTATGTCCAATAAATGATGACAGAATTATTTTGTAAGTTTGTTGTTTTTCAGAAACAGTGCTACTAAGTACTATCCCTCAGACTATTACAATAGTAATAGCAATATTTGTAGAATACTTTGTAGTTTAGAAAATGCTTTCCCAATTATCTGTGTAGTACATGACTTTATTTCTACCTTGTGATGTATGGGAAAATGTCCAAATATTATTCATAACCAGAAGTAAAACAGTCTACTGGTAAACATGAACTCCCACTAAACTCCAGCTTGTGTTTCAGTCCAAATAGGATTATCCTTGGATGAGTAGTGGTCTTTCTTTTGCCTGTTTTTACGGTAATCTCCTCAATCTCTGGCTCCATCTGGTGGAATATTGTGAGGTCATGGCCATGGGCATCACTCTTCCTAAGTCTACTTTATAGGACCAGTATTGTGTCTTTATGATCCTCCAAGGAAATAGAAACAAGCCTTTCAGAATCTGAAGATTGGATTATCTACTAGGCCAATAAATTTTCTCTTGCTAATATGACTGCTTCTTAGAGTAGAATATCTATTTTACAAAAACACCTTTTCCCAGTAGGTTTAAAGAAGAAAAAATGCATAGGATAAAAAAAATATATATTCTACCCTGCCAAAGATAGCTTACATTGTTGTTGTTGTTGTTGTTTTTCACCTCACATCTCCCAGGAAGTAGAGTGGGCTGAGGATGCTATTGTAGAAAAAACAACTGAAACTTACACTAATTAAGTTTCCCAAAGGGGGAAAAAGCGGGGCAAAGACAAGACCAAAAGTCAAATGCTTTGATCCTACATGCATTAATTATAGCATGTAGATTTCATTACTTAAAACAAAAAAGTGAAAAAAAAAACCCTTCATTTAGCGTATTTCGTAATATACATTTTACATATTTTTGGAATGTCTTAAATATTACACAATAGAAAAATAAATGAGAAAAACTTCCTTATCTACAAGGGTAAAAAAAAATTGAAACGAAAGTGATACTAAATCAATTTTGATTAAATATCTTATTTTTGAAAAATTTTAAAAAGTACATATAAACTTCTGAGTTCATTTTTAGATCCCTCTTTGGAACCTTGAAAGGGGTTACACAAGTAGGGGCCCTAAAGGTTAAGCTTCATTAGTTTCATGACGAACCAACTTTGGATTGACTCTCAAACACCATAGATGGAAGAGGCTTCTTTTTTTTTTTTTTTTTTTGAGACAGAGTCTTGCTCTGTCGCCCAGGCTGGAGTGCAGTGGCATGATCTTGGCTCACTGCAACCTCCGCCTCCTGGGTTCAAGGGATTCTTCTGCCTCAGCCTCCTGAGTAGCTGGGACTACAGGTGCGTGCCACCATGCCTGGCTAATTTTTGTATTTTTAGTACAGATGGAGTTTCACCATATTGACCAGGCTGGTTTTGAACTCCTGACCTCGTGATCTACCTGCTTCAGCCTCCCAAAGTGCTGGGATTATAGGCCTGAGCCACTGCACCTAGCTGAGGCTTCTTTAAAGTTGGTTTGATCATCATTATTTCTTGGTTGTCTCACTTACTGATCATCTTCTTCAATTTCCAGGTTTGCATTAGGGATATTTTTGAAAGTCAATATTTTGGAGTAACGTGATTTTTTGTTTTGTTTTGTTTTCGGTAACCATCTATTTTCATATAGGTTAGAAGAAAGACCACATCTCATGTTTCATGTAGTTTTCTATTGCTGTGTTTCCAAAGTTTGGATATGGTATGGCTGGAGAGGAAACTATGAGTTATATGTGATAGCAACCAGACTATCTACATAGGAGTCTATATAAATGGCAGCTTGGAGTTGTGCAACGAGGTTCCCATTAATGGCTGAAGTGGCTTTAAGCAATAGTTCGGCATGAGATGTATTTAATGTTTAGCACACACTTAATTTCCTGTGTAGACTTTTGGTTCTGTATCCTTCCTCTCTCAATCTCTCTTTAACTCTCTCCCTCTCTTAGGCAATAAACAGTATGTTTGACCTGCCCAGGTATGGCAACCACCATTATTGATTCTAGTAGCAACTTACATTGCTGACATGTTTTAATGTTTAAAAATTACTGTCCATTTGTTTCAGTTCCTATCAATCATCCTACAGCCCTTTACTCTCTTGATGGTTGAGGAAAATCTCATCATTTCCCTTCTTCACCATTTGTGGATCTTCTTACATTCAGTCATAAGAAGGAGTCTCATCCTTAGAGGGAGAAGGGAGAGATTCTGGGAGGTAGGGCAATAAATAACTTGACCAAACCTTTTGCATCTTTTAGAACCTCAATAAGCTGTTCTCTCTGGGACTAGGAATTTATGTGATATATGACTTTTCAAAATAGACTTAGCTTTTGGAGAACATTAGGATTCACAATGAAATTGACAAAAAGGACAGAGATTTCCCATATATTCCCTGCCCCACAAATGCACAGCCTCCCATCATCTCTTTCTCTCATAGGATACTCATCAAAAAAAGTAAACGAACAATGCACTGTAAAACACTTGGCACCTTGTAGCCACTTCATCCTGGTGCTACTTATGAAAGAAGTAAACTTTGAGCTAAGCCTTAACTGTTAAATAAATTCAAGATAGTTGCAGTGGTTGGGTTCTTGATAAGTAAACAACAGTTAATAAATGTAGATTGGGCAAAGTTGTAGAAGGAAGGGTTTGGGGGATAGTGAGCAAGTGTCTAAACTTGTGGGGAGTTCCTCCAGTTCTTGAGAGTGACTCACTCACTAATCTCATATAAACTAATTCACAATGAGGTGTCAATGGCTTAGTGATACCTCTCCTAAGACATTAAAGGATTTTTTTTTGAGATTAATGTTTTTATTTAAAGAACTTAATTTCCTGTGGTAAGGGTTTCACATAAGAGGGTAGGATGATTTTATGGATATTTCAGGGTAGGGGAAAATTTTAGCATCATCATTTAAGCCATACTACAGAAGTAACTGGGGCAAGTCCCTCTGCAAGATAAGCTGATAAAATGTTTGTTTTGGAGTTGCTTTGTTATTATTGTTGCTATTTTTAGTTTTTTGCAGTGCTTTTATGGAGATGTGGATTAATTTGAAAATAGCATGGTAATTGTATGTGTGCGTGCTTGTGTGTGTGTGTGTTTATGTGTGTGTTACTGTGTTTGTGCCCTGGGGCGTCCTAGGTGAAGGGCTCCCTTGAAAAATTTGAAACAAATAAATAAAATGAGAACTGACCTAAATTTTTGCCTCAAACTGGAACTGAGTTCAAGCTTTTGAGGAGGATCAAAAACTTGATTAACTGTTGTTTATTTGTTTTTAGAGGCTTTGCTTCCCTCTAACTCAAAAAAGTAAAAGTGATCAAACACTACCCTCTGAGAGAGACTCTTGTCTCAATATTTCCAACAGGGTTGAAACCAGAAAGTACTTGTGAGGCAACTGGGAAGCACAAGTGAATTGCAGCCCAAGGTCCCAGATCCAAGGGGTTAGAAGGAGTTCAGCTAAACTTCATGTTGATGTCCAAGGAAAACAGCAGTAGTGTTGTTTTCAGTGGAATTGAGATCCTAGAGGGCAGAAAACATCATTATGTGAAACAGAAAAAGAACGTGCATTTGTGTTTTTCACCACAGTCTGGGAGACAACACATTTTCTCATTGGTTGAAAAGTAAAAAGAGACCCATGGGATGGGCTGAAACCTGTGGGTCAACTTGAGGCAGCTGGTGTAAGGCAAAGCTGTGAGGGACAATTCAGGAGACTTGGAATTAAGGCTCCCTTCTCACAGCTGTGTGACCTGGAACATGCTGTGTAGCTCCTACAGAATTTTCGTATTTGAATCTGTGAAGTGTTCAGTTGTTCAGAATACCAATGCCCTGTCTCACATGGCACACTTCAATAGGTGCTTCGCACCTTTCCAAGTTTGATAAGAACCAGTTGTACCCTTGTGAATAGTAAATTTCAGGTGGGACTCCAGACACATACTAAAATCATTTGTATTAAAAAAATAAGCATAACAGACAAACAGAGAGCCAAATCATGAGTGAACTCCCATTCACAATTGCTTCAAAGGGAATAAAATACCTAGGAATCCAACTTACAAGGGATGTGAAGGACCTCTTCAAGGAGAGCTACAAACCACTGCTCAATGAAATAAAAGAGGGCACAAACAAATGGAAGAACACTCCATGCTCATGGATAGGAAGAATCAATATTGTGAAAATGGCCATACCGCCCAAGGTAATTTATAGATTCAATGCCATCCCCATCAAGCTACCAATGACTTTCTGCACAAAATTTGAAAAAACTACTTTAAAGTTCATATGGAACCAAAAAAGAGACCGCATTGCCAAGACAATCCTAAGCCAAACGAACAAAGCTGGAGCCATCACACTACCTGACTTCAAACTACACTACAAGGCTACAGTAAGCAAAACAGCATGGTACTGTTACCAAAACAGAGATATAGACCAATGGAACAGAACAGAGCCCTCAGAAATAATCCCACACATCTACAACTATCTGATCTTTGACAAACCTGACAAAAACAAGAAATGGGGAAAGGATTTCCTTTTTAATAAATGGTGCTGGGAAAACTGGCTAGCCATATGTAGAAAGCTGAAACTGGATCCTTTCCTTACACCTTATACAAAAATTAATTCAAGATGGATTAAAGACTTAAGTGTTAGACCTAAAACCATAAAAACCCTAGAAGAAAACCTAGGCAATACCATTCAGGACATAGGCATGGGCAAGGACTTCATGACTAAAACACCAAAAGCAATGGCAACAAAAGCCAAAACTGACAAATGGGATCTAGTTAAACTAAACAGCTTCTGCACTGCAAAAGAAACCACCATCAGAGTGAACAGGCAACCTGCAGAATGGGAGAAAATTTTTACAATCTACCCATCTGACAAAGGGCTAATATCTAGAATCTACAAAGAACTCACACAAATTTACAAGAAAAAAAATCAAACAATTCCATCAAAAAGTGGGCAAAGGATATGAACAGACACCTCTCAAAAGAAGACATTTATGCAGCCAACAGACACATGAAAAAATGCTCATCACCACTGGCCATCAGAGAAATGCAAATCAAAACCACAATGAGATACCATCTCACACCGGTTAGAATGGCAATCATTAAAAAGTCAGGAAACAACAGGTGATGGAGAGGATGTGGAGAAATAGGAACACTTTTACACTGTTGGTGGGACTGTAAACTAGTTCAATCATTGTTGAAGACAGTGTGGTGATTCCTCAAGGATCTAGAACTAGAAATACCATCTGACCCAGCCATCCCATTACTGGGTATATACCCAAAGGATTATAATTCATGCTGCTATAAAGACACATGCACACATATGTTTATTGTGGCACTATTCACAATAGCAAAGACTTGGAACCAACCCAAATGTCCATCAATGATAGACTGGATTAAGAAAATGTGGCACATATACACCATGGAATACTATGCAGCCATAAAAAATGATGAGTTCATGTCCTTTGTAGGGACATGGATGAAGCTGGAAACCATCATTCTCAGCAAACTATCACAAGGACAGAAAACCAAACACCTCATGTTCTCACTCATAGGTGGGAATTGAACAATGAGAACACTTGGACACAGGAAAGGGAACATCACACACCGGGGCCTGTCGTGGGGTGGGGGCAGTGGGGAGGGATAGCATTAGGAGATATACCTAATGTAAATGACGAGTTAAAGGGTGCAGCACACCAGCATGGCACATGTATACATATGTAACAAACCTGCATGTTGTGCACATGTACCCTAGAACTTAAAGTAAAATTTTAAAAAAAGGGAAAAAAACATTATGAGAATTTGCGTAAAAGAAGGTATAATAATTTGGATAATATGGCTTAACCTCCATGTTTTGGAAGACTTTATAAGAACAGAATTTAAAAATGAGTAGAGTTTTGATACAGAGAAATTCATTGGATGGAGGACATTATAAGCAGAAGTAACACCATAAAAAGGTAACATAAGAAAGCAAGATTTAACATAGCAAATAGCAAGTAAGCAACATTGTTTGAACTGGAGAGGGGTTAGGAGATAATTTTGGAAAAATCATTGCGGTCAAAGGATGGATGTTCTTGGTTGCTAAGCTGCTGGTTTGGGCTTTATTTTATATGCAACAGGGGTACTTAGAGTTTTGCTCAGATGTATGAATAAATGTAATCCTTTATCAATATTAAATTTAAAATAGTTGATAAAGTGAATTAGGAGGAAAAGCTAAAGGGAGAGGCTAACCATTTAAGAGTTCATCACATTAATTTGGGTAAGAGGTAGTATGGCCCTAACCAAGACAATGACCATGCTTATGGAAAGGAGGTTGTGTGTCTTGTAGTCAGATGGAG
Organism: Homo sapiens; assembly: GCF_000001405.40. Lineage (NCBI taxonomy): Eukaryota > Metazoa > Chordata > Mammalia > Primates > Hominidae > Homo > Homo sapiens. Next base: position 7,278,708 of record NC_000020.11, read on the forward strand.
GTAGAATCAAGAGGATCTGGCACTAACTGTAGCCAGGAAGGGAGGAAGAGGAGCCAGAGAGGATTCTAAGTCTTCAAGCTTGAATGGCTTGAGAGATGTTGTAATTAATTTGAGAAACTTCAGATAGAAACAGGCTTGAGAGAGAAAATGGTGAGTCCAGTTGAGTTTGAGATTAGAAAGTCATCTAGTGAGGATGGGAGTTTGAATCTTGAAATCAAGAGCTAGGTGAAGGCTGGAGACAAAGATGGAAAGTTATTTGCAAAGACATCACAGCTGAAATCATGGAAGTACTGGATACTGATGTACATTATTCAATTTCTTTTCCTGGTCTGATGCCAGCTATACAGATATTATTCCTGGGCTTTGTTAATAAGTTTCCTTGTGTGAGCTTGTCTCTTGGCAACTGGGCTTTGTCCCTGGAACTTAAAGCCATCTCTGCTGAGCTGAGTATCAACACCTTCACGAGTTCTTCAAGTCTGATCTAACCTCTGCAATTCACTGCCTATTCTTATCACCCTGATTTTTATCATCACCTCAACTCACTATGTCTATGACCTGTAGCTCTCATGCTGATAAAGGTTAGAAATGCTTATCAAAACATTTTTTTTAAAAAAGGAAGCTTCAGGGTTTTGTTTGCCTCTCTAGGTTTTTTATTTAATTCTACAAATAAAACCTATACCTTAAGGATCTGGATGTATCATTTTAATGCTTTCCACCAGCAATGTGCATTTTAATAATGTATTTCCAAAAACCATTCCAGGAAAATTTCAGTGCCAAGAAAACATAGGAAATTCCTTCCTACTGTATATATCACATTTTTCTTGTTTTCTATAAGGCTTCACATGAATCACATAGAAATTTTTTTCAATATTCAAAGACATGTGAATAGGTAGATATCGAAATTCTACAAGACAGATGACCGATCTTTAGACCTGGCTTTAAAACTTTATGGTTGTGTTTCTCTTGATAAATCATTTGAGATTACAGTGTTATACCTTACTGGTATGAGAATTCAATGAGGTAAGCCACCATTCCCCCAAAACAGTAAAGAACTAAAAAGTATAAAATATGGGACATGGGATAAATAAAAACAAACTATTTATTATAATATGGAATATTAGAAGTAATACATACCATACTAATTCTATGTTTGTGATTATTTGATTAATGCCTATAACCAGCAGCGGACTGTTAATTCATGATGTACAGTCACGTCAGGTTTCAGGTTTTGTTCATCGTAGTCCCAGCAACTAGTGTTACATTTAGCATATAGTAGGCACAGAGTAAAAATTTTTGAATGAATTGAATGCTTTGATGCTTAAATTTAGTCCATTTAGTATAATAAGAGAATGCATTTTAATTATGAAAACTTTTTTCTTTGAAAATTCAATACAGTTGATAATGCAAATTTTTACAAGAGTCATTTAGATAACTTTATAGATAAAATATCCATGGCAGTGAAGTGAGGAAAGATAGAGATGATTGAAAAAATTTTAGAGGCCCTTGTTCTGTTTTACCTGGGTTCCAAAGCTGGAATAAATCAAAACTGATTTTGACATGTCCCTAAGTAGTCTTTCTTGTGTTCCAGTGCTATGTTCCCTTGGCTTTGTTCCTTGTGTGCTTCTGTGTAAACCATATGTTCCTCAAACAGTAAACGATACCTGTACTTCATCCCCTTTTCCATTTCTCCTTGCAGTTTTGTCCTCATCCACAGAACGCTGTTGAATTTCCTCTCCAAGAACTCACCAGCAGCTTTACAGAATATTTTTCTTGCCTATGCTGCCGATCAGCTTTCTTTCTCTCTTGAATTCCACTTCCCTTGGCTTTTATTTTCCTCCTTTTAAAAATATTCATTGTAAATTCATTGTCAAATTTTTTTTTTTTTTTTGACAGAGTCTTGCTCTGTCACCCAGGCTGGAGTGCAGTGGTGTGATCTCAGCTCACTGCAATCCCTTCCTCCCAGGTTCAAGTGATTCTCATGCCTCAGCCTCCAGAGTAGCTGGGACCACAGGCACATACCGCCACGCCTAGCTAATTTTTGTATCTTTTTGTAGAGATGGGGTTTTCCATGTTCCCCAGGATGGTTTTGAACTCTTGGCATCAAGCGATCCACCCACCTCGGCCTCCAAAAGTGCTGGGATTATAGGCATGAGCCACCGTGCCCTGCCTGTCAATATAATTCTTTTATTCACCTGTAACAATCTCAAATATTAGAACTCTCTGGAAATCTTCAATGTCTTGGTTTTTCCACATAGTGTTTAATGGTTTTTACCTTTCTTCTCCGTGGAAACAGTTTCAGTAGCCACTTGGACATTTTGACATGAACATATTTATAAAGTTGCAAACTCAGTTTATCAAAAGTTGACTATTAATTTTTTACTTTTTTCACTCCTCTCCTCAAATCACCTATATTGGTCTATTAGAAACCACCATTTACCACATGAAATTGGCTCTTCAAATTTCCCTCCCCACCAATCTCTCTTTGTCACCCCATATTCAATAAAAGTCTTGTCAATTTTACTTCCCAATGCCCATTATGCGACGACCACATTTTTGCCCCAGCCATCCAAGTCCTGATTCAATTGGTCTTCATTAGAGTCATCGTGTCCTGTTACCCATCTCTACTTCATGTAGCACACTGCCACCAACATTATCTTTCTAAAACTTACATCTGCAGATGACGGTCCTTTTTATGCTCAGTCTCTAATGGGTAAAGTTTTTGATCCAACATTAATAATCTTTTAAAATAAGGCTCAAAACTGTCTTGCTAATTTTCTTTATTTTTAATTTGTAAAGGCTTAATTATATGTAATTCACATATCATGAATTTCACCCATTAGAGTGTAAAAAATCAGTGGGTTTTAGTATATTCACAAAACTGTGCAGCTACAATCAATTTTAGAACAGTCTTATCAGCCTCGGAAGAAGCTGTATTTCCTTTAGGTGTCAACCATGCCCAGTTTCCCTCATCAGAAACTCTATTTCCTTTAGGCCTCAACCATGGTCAATTTCCCTCATCTCATCCCTAGGCATAGGCATCCATTATTTTATTTTATGTCTCTATAGATTTTCCTATTACTGGCATTTCATATAAATGGAATCTTTGAATACATGGTCTTCTTTCATTCAGCATGATGTTTTAAAGGTTCATTTATGTTATAGCATGTATAAGTATTTTGCTAGTTTTCATTGCAGAATAATATATCACATTGTATGCATATATCACATTTTATTTAAATATTAATCAATTGCTAGTCTCTTTTGGCCCTGTCTTTTCCTCCTACCATATCTTGTACTTCTCTTATTTTCACCACTTTAAATTTTTTTTCTCAATTTCCTAGAATTCTTCATACCTGCTGTTTTAGAATTGGTTGTTTAAGTTTCCTTATTTTCAAGTAGATTTTAAGACTGTTCTTTTTCATATTCCTAAAACTGAGGGTTTTTTTTTTTTAACATAGATAATCAATTCTATTCAATGAAAATGAATTCGGTCTACTGTTTTCAGTATTTTGATACTTAGGAATGTGAAAGCTATAATAACCAGAAATGCAAGAATGAACACTGTCTTAAAATTTACGACATACTGTCACAATATTTAAACCTACAATCGTGCGTGTATGGTCATTGTGCTTGTATAATTGATTTGATGTCCTTTATTTATATGTGAAACAACATTATTGGCATAAATTCTATCAGTTTTCTAATATAAGAGTGATAAATTGGGGTAAATTAACAAATATCTTTGGCTATTCCAAAGTTAAAGACATTGGACTGGAGTACTATGGGAGATCGGGAGGTGCAAAGAATTATGGGAAATAACACATGAACACAAACAATCATGAACTAACCTGTCATGACAGGAAATGGGAACTGTTTAGTTCTTGGACACAGCAGCAAAAACAGCAGATTACTTTAGGTTGAGCCACTATTAAAGAACTCTGGATTAGATAAGATTAAATTCAGTCCATAAAGAAAAACAGGATTTAGATAGATAGATGAAGACAAGAGAGATGGTTAATTGGGACCACCTAAAAGCCAAATTTGTTGACAAGGGAAATCCTCATTCAGATCTGAGTTTTGGTACGGCCCTGGGCATATTTTGTTAATCTAGTTAATTCCTTGCAGTTATTCAGCTATGCCAATGTTCTCTCTTGCTTTGTGAATTTGCACAAACTGCTCCCTTTGCCCGTTCACTCTACCCCCTCCCCACCCCCCAATCTGTCTGGCTGTCTTTCTTGCCAACTAAAATTCAGTTTAAATCAATTTCTTTTCTAAAGTCTTTCCTATTCACCTCTTGCTGAGTTAGGTGCACCCTTCACTATATATCTATAACCCCCAATTGGAACATAGCCCATGTTGGATAAATAGGTGATTGAATGGATAAAAAATAAATAAATGAGAGTATGAAATATTAAACTACCTCACTGAATCCTTCCTATTCACACTGTCTCTCACCATTTATTTTCTAAATCTGCTTTCTAGCTAGCTTTTTGAAAGAACTTAGACCATGTGAAGCAGGACAGAAACATGTAAGTGGAAGATGGTATTTATTTTAGTAATTCACAATATCTTGTTACGATTCTGGAAAGGCAGTAATGCTTAAAGTATGATCCCTGAACAAGCAGTGTCATCTTCACTTGGAAGCTCATTAGAAATGTAAATTCTCAGATTCCATCTCCAAACCTACTTAGTCAGAAATGGGGAGAGAAGAGTGGTTTTCACAAGCCCTCTAAGTGATTCTGAGGCCTGCTAACATTTGAGAACTACTATACTATATTGAGGTTGCTTTCGTAATGTCATAAGGGACTTGCAGGTGGTTTGATATGCTCATTTAGCTCGTCTAAATGATTCATTTCTTCTGTAAAATCATTCATTTCTCCAAAAAGTCCCCTGGTTCCTTTTCTTGGAAAATTGTATTCAAAACTAACATCTGGGGGATAGGTGTGTTTGCTGCTTCTGGGGCATCATTTATTTCTAGGCTCTCTCATTGGACACACACACGTGTGTGTGTGTGTGTGTGTGTGTATGTGTGCAGATAAGTGTATATTCATGGATTAATACACATATTTCCTTCCTTTCCACATATGTGTGTGTATATGTATTTAATGGTGCAATCACAGCTCACTGCAGCCTCAAGCAATTCTCCCACCTCTGCCTCCTCAGTAGCTGGGACCACAGATGTGTGCTACCACACCTGGCTAATTTTTTTTTTTTTTTAATAGAGACAGGATCTTCCCTATGTTTCTCAGGCTGGTCTCAAACTCCTGGGCTCAAGTGATCCACATGCCTCGGCTTCACAAATTGTGGGGATTACAGACGGGAGCCACCACGCTTGGCCGTCTATGCCACCTGGATCGTATTAGCCTTCTCTTCACCTGGGTTGTATACAACCTTCTACTCTAACAGTGAGGAACCTAGTTCTCACCATCTTCCATACATCTACTCAATTGTTCAAATCCAGTGTGTGTCTATAATGGTTCCATAATTTTTAACATACCGTCTGGTAAACAACATTACCAGTTAGAGTTTGACATTCTCATGTAGTTCTTTTCCTCTGATTGTGTTGGAGTGGCAATCCAAAATAAAACTTAATGTTAAGTGTTTCATAATCTAGAAGAACAAGTCCTCTAAGAGACTAATCTGTAACATCCTGGCTTGTGTATTAAAACGAAAAAAAGAAAGAACCCATTCACAAAAGGATAAAGAACATAAACATCATCAGAGGTAGTCCAGACCCTGGAAAAAGTGAAGGAACATTTCCAAACTTAGTGCAATTCCTGCAACTGACAGTACATGTGCAGGGCCCATTTTGTTAAATTATTCATAGATTTAGAATGACCTGACACACTCAAATGTTAATAAATACATAATTATTAAATTCTATTACATGAAATTAGGTAACTAAAACTGGCCTATTGTGGTTCCTCCTATCCAAAGCAGTATTTCAGGTCCTCACAAAATCAGAAGTATATAAGAAGGCCAGAAAGTCTGAATTTTGGCACATTTCTTCTTTCTAGAAAAGGTTCACAGGTAGGATGGTAGATGAGGAGCTGGTGGGCCAGGGAGAGTGGAGAAGCTGGCCATAGCACTGGGAGGGGCTTATCTAAAGTTCCTAGTGGTCCAGGAGCTACTTTTTATGGCTCTTCTAAGGAAAATGGTACCCATTAAGAATGATTTTTTTAAAAGCAAATGACATCCTATTCATAATTTCTTCTTAAAAATATGTCACCTCTGCTAGGAAGAAACCAAAATTGCCCTACATGAGCATTCATCATTATTTTTTAATCTTCATTTTCTTGTTGTGTTTCTTTATTACATTTGATTATGTCTGTCCTGTATTATAGTTTCTTATTTGTAGTGTTGCTTACCTTTTCCTGTTCAATCTGCCCTACGTATTCTCTTTGAGGGTGGAGGCTTGATCTCATTATTTGAATGCTTAACATATAGTTGATTATCAACAAATATTGAATAGAAAGCTCAAAGAACACATAGAAAAGAATAACTCAACATTGTAGTTTTTTACTCCCAGATTTCTTTTGTGAAAACTAAAAACTTCCTTGACTTTATTGAGATAAATGGCTTTTCAGCATGAACATTCATGCTCACTCATAAAAGCAAGTTCTCATGAGGTAGTCCCAGGAATAATACTGTCTTTTGAGTCTCTGAAAACTAAAGTATTCATGCTTCTTGCACGTTTTTTTTTAAATCATAGAATTCTTCAATATATTATTGGGACGGGTTATATAGTTTGGATGTTCTCAGTCTGCCAAATAATGGCCCAGCTGCATCAGAATCGATTTGAAGAGATTAAACAAACAAACAAAAACCGAACAGTTTCCAGTCACACCCCTAGAGTTTTGGATGTAGCAGGTTTGAGGTAAGGCTTGGAAATCTGTCATTTAAAAATACCTCCCCAAGTGTTTTCTGATGGGAAGTTGGATCACATCCTGCCTCATATTGTGGAATAGGTGGTTAAAAATCCCCCAAACTCTGTTCTTCCATTAGCAAGAAGGGTCACTACTGATGTGTGTGTTACACCAGAAGTCTGTTCATCTCAGACCTTCTTGGAAGAATAAGTTTGGTTTGCCTTCTCAGTGGCGGTCACACAAGACTGCATGAAAGAACAGTCTGGCTGAAAAGCAAAATTTATATTTTAGAACAATATTAAAAACATAGAGCCAAAGAGCCAGTTTCAACAAGATGAGCTTTCCATAGCATAGCTTTATCAGGACTTCTCTGCTTTCTGTTAACTAGACTGCCTGGTGAATTCTTCATGGCAAATAACTCTAGCCAGTGTTTCGAGAAAGTGATTTCTAGCCTCCTACACTCTAAGCCTTGGGAAGTACAATCCAATATTGAGACAGGCCGATTTGAAGAGCTCTGAGCCTCAGGGAACAGCGCCATCTGCTGATGACTGAGGACATAGCTTACTTGAGAACAAGAGTCTTCGGGAAAGCGGTAGATATTAATTATGTATGTCCTGGCTTTCGCACCACGGCCGCTATAACAACCTACTCCCAAGCACCAGGCATTCTTTCAGCTCATTGGGTGAGATTAGTCAGTAATAACTGGTGAGTGTTTTTATTACTTAAATATGAACACCATTCTTTGAATGCCATGGCTTAAGCCTTAGGTAGACAAACTCTGCCTATAGGTGTTCATGCATCAAACATAGAAGCTCAGCACTACTGGACAAGGCATGACACCTTTGCCACAGTAACTTTAATGGTTTAGGGACAATGTTCAAGGAGTCTGGTTACAGGGGGCTATGGGGAATTTCATCTCCTAACTGTTTTTCTTTAGGGCCCAACATCAGCAATCACCAGTTAGTGTGTGATACTCCGAAGTTTCAGCATGTGCCATTTCCTGCTGAACGGGTCTAACAGAGCAAAGCAGACCCCAGGGAAGCCCAATTTTGGTTAGGTTAAATCCTTAAAGAAACGAGGTGGTATTTTTCCCATTGGTAGTTTATTTATGTGTTTGTTTTAATGTTAGGGCTTATCCCTTCTAATATCCTCCCCAGGACCAGGAAAGGGAAATGTTAAAGTCATGAAACGGAGAGAGAAGAAATACCCTATCTGTGTGTGTGTATGTGTGCATGTGTGTGTAGGTGTGTGTTCTAAACCAGGTCTTTGAAAGATAAACATTTGATGTAGCAAAATGTTGAAAGTAAAAGTAATAAGCAAGTTTCATTACATTTTTCTAAAAATATTTGGCTTCCAAAATCAAACCCACTTAAAGTTTTCCTACTTTTATTTTCTTTTCTTAGTCATTTCAACATATTGTAGGGGATTTCACTGTGTCATAATAATGTTATTTTTACACAGATTTTAACAGTAAAAATAAAGTTGGTGGACCCCACTGCCCTCCACAAGAGCTGAAAGTTCATTTTTCTGCCCAATTCTTCCCACACACGTGAAAAAAACACATTTAAAATTAAAGGTCAGCACTTAGGCTCTTGTGAGGTCTGGCAATATTTGATCAGAGTTTAAAAATCTATAGCATATATTACAAATAATATTTGAAATAAGTGCAGATGGAAATAATTAGATTTTTTCAGTTTGATTTTATCGTTTATAAAATATTTGAACTAGGCTTATTATTTTTCTATATTTAAAATGTGTCTAATTCAATTTTCACTATTGCAAGGACAGACGTGGCATAAACACATTTACATGAAAACTCATTATTTCTAAACTCGCAAAACTTTAGACCACATAATCCCAGGTACTTCAACTTAAAACATTGCAAGTTTAAGTAAATGAAATATTATATATTAATAATAATTAATACTGAAACTTATTGATAACATTACTATGTAATGTTTTTGGTACTTTATGTGTAATAATTCATTTAATCCTTATAGCAACACTATCAGCTGGGTACTATTGCTCTTCAATTGAGGACACAGAGAGGTTAAGTACCTTACCTAGGGATGAAAATATAGCTAGTAAATGGCAGAGATGATAGAAGCATAGATATACTGAGTTAGATCCCTTTATATCCCCTAAGAACACCTCCTTAAATGTTTCCTTCCAGGTGTCTCACTTCATCTCATCATAGCCCTAATCTTGAGATATTCCTGTCTGTCTGTCTGTCTATCTATCTATCTATCTATCTATCATCCATCCCTCCCTCCCTCCCTCCCTTTCTCCCTCCCTCCGTCCCTCCCTCCCTCTCTCCCTCCTTCCCTAACTGTCTACCTACCTACCTACCTATCTATTGGTTGAGCATTCCTTATCCGAAATGCTTGAGACCAGAAGTGTTTTGAATTTCAGATTTTAAAATATTTGCATATACGTAATAAGATATCTTAGGGATGAAACCTAACTCTAAAAAGATATCTTAGGGATGAAACTTAACTCTAAACATGCAATTCATATATGTTTCATATGTACTTTTTACACATAACCAAAAGGCAGTCTTACACATTTTCAACAGTTTTGTGTGTGAAACAAAGTTTGGGTACATTGAACCATCATAAAGCAAAGGTGCCACTATCTTGGCCACACTTGAGGACAATCTATGGTTGTTTGGCATCACCATCATTCCTGACTTTGATTTTGTATGCCACCGAGAAGCAATTATTTTCTTATACTTATTCAGGCATAAGTACTTAACAGTAATATAACATACCATTAATACAATGAAAAAAATAATGTGTTCAAAGTAGCTAAGCAGCACGGTAGCATCACCAGATGCCTGTATGAGCTATTAAACAACAGCAACAACAAACACCAGCAGGCTTTCAGTCTTTACCTGCGGTGCTGTGTTTCGATTAAAAGGTTACTGAACCCTGTATTTTGTCTCTTTAGGTGAGAAGAAACATTAGAAGCAGTTGAAGGACCGGGAAGTAGGTCCTCTGGAGATGAGGGGACATTCTTCTAAATGGCTTGTTAAAATGTTAACTGTAGTGTCATCTGTGTCATTAGTAACTATTTTTTTGCCTTAGAAGTCTCTCTTTCATTTTATAAACTGAAGTGATTTCTTGTTCTGCTATCAGCTACGAACATACGCTGCTCTAGTCCTTCGATAAACCCATCACATATTTTCAGCATGTCATGTATAAGCACTTTTTCTGTAGTGTTAACAAAGTCATTTTCATTGTTACTATTATCACAATCATCTAGACTCAGAGCCATTTTGGCTTTTTCACTACTGACTAATGAATGAACAACCGGAGCCTCATTATTGATGTTAAGAACTTCTTTGTTATCCACCTGTTCCACCCTATTGACAGATTCTGAAGATACAATTTTTGCATATGTAAGGAGATCTGACATTTTTCTTCTCATCTGACTTTTGGAATCCTTCAAAGTCACCACTTTGTCATCATCACAAAACATAGTCATAAGCCAGAGATTGTGCCAGGCATGCACAACTGTGCCTTTAGTCACCATCTTCCAAGCATTGGCAACAGCACCTATGGCATCCTAAACTTTTCAAAACCTTTCACGCCCATACCTCTGTTCTCTGCTGCTGGCGTGCTTTTCAAGAACGTGTTTTTATATTGACTTTTCTTTGATCTGAGGATGCCCTGGTCATGTAGCTGAATCCACAAAGTCACATTTGGAGGAAAGTATATGGCATAAACGTAATCTTTGAGAATTTGGTGCCTTCCTACAGTGAGCTCAAGCTGCTGGTACCAAATGTTTATGAAAGTAATCAGAAAAGATGTCCCTGGGGATGCATGCTTTTTTGTTAGCATAATATTGCACTGTTAAAAAATTCACTCCTTGAAAACAGTGAGGATGCAAGCTTCTGCCTATCACAGCAGGGTTACACTTAGGTGTGCCCGCTGCCTTAGCACATCTTAGCACAGTTATTCTGTCCTTGGCATCCTTAATTCCTGTAGGAGCTGTCTCATCAGCTGTAGTCAGTGTCTTCTGGGGGCAACAAGGCCAAAACAGTTACGTTTTAGTAGCATTATAGATGTGTTCTGGAGTCAGATTTTCATCAGTAATGACTTTAGCAAACTCATCAATGAGTTTCTCTGCTGCTTTATGATCAGCAGATGCTTATCACCCAGAGCTTTAAAAATGTAATGCCATGTTGCTGTAGAAAAAAATGGGTTCTTGTCACACAATCAGGAAGACTTAGGCACACAGACACTTTTGGAAGGGTGAGGGGGAACGGTGTTTATTGGGTGAAAAAGGAAAAGAAAAACCAAAAAGCTCAGCAAAGTGAGAAGGGTTTCTGTTAACAGGCCCCCATGTCACAGATTGAATCCCGGGTCACCATCCAGGAACAGCAGAGGTCAGACTCCTCCTCCCTGCAAATGGCACAAACTTCCCAAGACTCCACCCCATCGTCCCGGTGTGCAGGTGGGCATTATTGAGAAAGAATAAGTTGAGAAAAGGGCGAGCTTCATCTGGGACTGGCAGTCTGGTTTTTCAGCCTTCAGGCTGTTTAAGGCTTGAAGGCAGGCTTTCACCGGGGGATGCTTGGCTGCCTTCTGTCGGTATCAATGATGTTTTTCAAATTTCTCCAGCCAGCAGGCTGAATTCTTATAGTTCCATTTAATTTTCAGTTTACTGTGATAGATCTTTGCTTGTTTCATAGTCAGCATACTATTAAGTAACTTGAGTTCACTGCAGTGCTGATGGATCCATTCTTTCAATACACAATCAAGATCTTCTTTTTCAGGTTTATGCAGTATTTTTTTTCTATTTTTTAATTAACTTCTGCTCATCACTTTTGGCAAAGGTCCTGGCCTGATGGGGCATCATGGGAAACTGCCCTTGGTGTGTCCCACTGCACACACGCCATTTTATTATCATTTGTGGGAAAGCCTGCATGAGGGAATCTGGGCATGTACAGAGAAAATACACCAAAACTGAAGTTGGGTAGGAGGGTTCTATTTCCCCCATGCGGATGCTGAATAAACTGTGCGCACTTGCATTTTGACTGCCACATGTCACATGGGGTCAGGTATGGAGTTTTCTACTTGTGACATTATGTCGGTGTTCGAAAGGTTTTGAATTTGGGAGAATTTCTGATTTTGGATTTTTAGATTAGGAAAGCTCAACCTCTTTATCGTACCTACCTACCTATCTCTGTATCTACAATCAGTATAGACAGTTAGATATAGATGTAGGTATATACGTGGTTAGAGCAACAGCAGCCCAGACTTTTGGCACCATGGACCAGTTTTGTGAAAGACAATTTTTCCACGAGATGGGGTGTGGAGGGGGATAGGGTTTGGGGATGAAACTGTTCCACCTCAGATTAACAGGCATTAGATTCCCGTAAGGAGTACGCAACCTGGATCCTTTGCATGTAGAGTTCATAATAGGGTCTGTGCTCCTATAAGAATCTAATGCCATTCTGATCTGACAGGAGGTGGAGCTCAGGTGGTAGTGCTTGCTTGCCCACTACTCACCTCCTGTGTACTGCCCAGTTCCTAACAGCCCACAAACCAGAGGTTGGGGACCCCTGGGTTAGAGAAAGAGAGAGACAGAGAGAGAATGAATACAAAGAGGGATATTTTCAAATAGCTGGTAGACAGGTTATTGAATGGTCTCAACACAAAGAAATGATAATGTTTGAGTTGACACATACATGAATTACCCTGACCTGATCATTATACATTGTATATATCACAATATCACTATGTACCCCATACATATATACCCCTTGTCACATATTATGTGACAGTTAAAATAAATACGTTGTTAAAAAGGAGAATAATGCAAAAAATATAAGTATGCTATTTCCTTTTTTTCCTTTCTGTATTTTATCTTCTTCTTTATTTGCCTTCTTGATTAATCATTTCCTAGAGGCTGGTAATCAGATTTGGCTCCTGCCCTCCAAGATCTGTCAGTTTCATAAACTAACTCACACATGCAAATACTAATAGCTTTAAAGTGCTGAGTGCTAGAATATGTTCCCTTCAGTGGTAAAGAATTGGAGCAAATTCTTCCACATTGTGGTGTGGGGTAAAGAGGAAAGGCTTTCATAGAAGAGGCAGCATTTTGGTTGGTTTGGCAGGTAGAAATAGGAGGAGAGTGTTTCACTGAGACAGAGGAGCCCAATGAGCTGTCTGCATGGGGGTGGAGGAGGTATGAGTGAAATACACAGGAAGAGAATTTCAAGAAAGAGGTGGGAGGTGGGGGCAATTAACATCCTTAACTGCTGCAGGGAAAACAAACAAATGGCTGAGAAAAGACCATTAATATATAAGCATTTTCTGATACGTGAGCCATGCATACAATTTTAAATATCCTAGTAGTAGTCACATTAAAAAGAAACAGATAAAGTTTAAAATGTATTTTATTTAACCCTTTATATAAAAATATTATCATTTAACATGTAATAAATATACAAATTTATGTTTTGCATTCTTGATTCTGTACTTTGAAATCCAGTGTGTATTTCATACTTACAGCATATCTCAATACTAAAGAACCACAAGTGCTCAATAACAGCACCCTGTGGTTTGTGGCTACTACATTGAATGACACAGATTTAGACAACAGCAAAAAAAGTGTGAGTAGAGAAGTGGAACCAGAAGTCAGATTCTAAGGAATTAGGGGAGAGTGGATGGTAAAGACATAGGGACAGACAGTGTGTATTACTTTTTTCCAAACACTTGGAGAGCAAAAAATGACACTGTTCTTTTATTCTCTCTTTAAGATAACTGAGATGGTAATACATTTCATGGAAAGGGTCAAGAAATTTAAAAAAAATGAGAAATTGCAGATATGAGGAGGAAGTTATGAAGCCAGCATGCCATACTGAGGGTTAAGACCTAGAGGGTCTGGGACTACTAGTGCTAGTCTTTTTGTTCTATGTTTGGAAATGGACTACAGCCATGCCTGGTGACAATGCAATCTGCTTATTGGCTCTTGTCATTAACAGGACTACTACCCAAACAAATTACCTTCTTATAGGAATCAGGGTTTGCAATCCTTGGGAGACAGAGGACCCATTGAGAGCATGGCTGGCAAGTTTAGTTTCATAAATGAGAAATTTCTTCTTTTATATGAGAATAGAAGATGACTGGTTGTGAAAGTATAAGTTTTATTCTAAAAACACAGCATATTAGGAGATATCTCCTCTTTTCATTGTCAGATTCCACTGGTCATTCATTTAGCTACTCATTCTTCAACAATACAAAATATTTTTGAACTTCTATAGTTTATTCCTGAAACTTACATTCAATACAACAATTCTTTCCTTCTTTCGTTTAAAACCTTAATTGAACCTTCTTTCTCCCTTTCTTTCCTTGTCTTTTCCATTCTTTTGACAAACTTAGGGCAAATTTTGAAGTCGGTGAAATTGATTTTGGGTATTTTTCCGTCTTGTTTTATCTACCCTCTGTTCTCTGGTGCTGACTTATACTTTTTTGACCTTGCTGTAAAATCCAAGTCTTAGCCACCACTATTAACACTGCCACCACCATCGTTTCCACCCGCACCATCATTAACAACAATTAAGTTCTTTTTATCTGGTTCTATTTTTCTCAACCTCATTAGATATTAATTCTCACAGAGTGAATTAATATAAATATACTGCTGTGGTCTGAATGTTTGTCTTCCCCCATATTCATATGTCGAAACCTACTTTCCAATGTGATATTATTAGGAGGTGGGGCCTTTGGAAGGTGATTAGGTCATGAAGGCTCAGCTCTCATGAATCAGATTAGTGCACTTATAAAGGAGGCTCTAGAGAATTGCCTCATTCTTCCCTCCAAGTGAGTTTATAGCAAGAAAGTGCCATCTATAAATCAGCAAGCAGCCCTCACCAGTCACCGTATGTGACAGCACCTTGATCTTGGATTTTTCAGCTTCCAGATCTGTGAGAAATAAATTTCTATTATTTAAGCCACCTAGACTATAGTATTCTGCTACAGAAGATTGAACAGACTAAGACATCTATTAATGATTTTGATGCCCCTAACTTTACCAAAAGCATTGGCATCATAAAAAGAGAATGATTATTAATACAAATGGATCTTTATTTTTTTTTAAAAAAAGGAATGACAATACATTTTTTTTTTTTTTTTTTTTTTTGAGACGGAGTCTCGCTCTGTCGCCCAGGCTGGAGTGCAGTGGCGGGATCTCGGCTCACTGCAAGCTCCGCCTCCCGGGTTCACGCCATTCTCCTGCCTCAGCCTCCCAAGTAGCTGGGACTACAGGCGCCCGCCACTACGCCCGGCTATTTTTTTGTATTTTTAGTAGAGACGGGGTTTCACCGTTTTAGCCGGGATGGTCTCGATCTCCTGACCTCGTGATCCGCCCGCCTCGGCCTCCCAAAGTGCTGGGATTACAGGCGTGAGCCACCGCGCCCGGCCGACAATACATTTTTCACCAACATTTTATACAACTATTTTCAGACATAAGCCAAGTTGAATAAATTTTACAGTAAACACTTGCATATCAACTACCTAGACTCTAACATGAACATTTTTCTATATTGCTTTTTCACAAACCTATCCATTTATCGATCCCTCCATTTTTCTATACTTCATCTTAGTTTTTTGTACATTTTAAAGTAAATTGCAGATGTCAGGATGCTTTCCCCTAAACACTTTAGCAAGCATATTATCAACTACATTTCAATATGTCTTTTGAAGTGGAATGGAATAGTAAGCATATTTTAAATACATAGACCTGTGTAACCCAAACCTCTATCAAGGTAGAGAAAATTACCATCATCCCAGGAAGTTCCCTAAGAGCAATCTTCTGATGTTTTTCACCATAGATTTATTTTAGAATTTTATATAAATGAAGCTTATTGTACTCAACATAAGATTTCCAAGACTCAGACAATAATATAGACAGTGGTGCTTTCAAGTCTGCAGCAGTTTTGTTCCTTTTCTGGAGTCTGCCCTTTCAGAAGAGCTCATTGCTCCTCCCCTTAGTTCTTCTTGCTCCTCTTCCTACCCCCTGCTCAGTTTGTATCTCCTTTCTTTTTTTCTAATAAATACAGTTTCTTTTAAAGTTCTAGATGTTGTCATTGCTCTTACTTTGAATTTCTATAAGGGCTTGTAAAGCATTAGGATGCTCACACATCAGGAGGAACAACGTTTTATTCTTTACCATTGAACTAGTAATACTAGTTTTTCCTTTTAGGATGACTTCATTGAGTATATATTAAAAATAATGGAAAAATAGCAAAAAGGAAAGAACATATGTGATGAATCCGTGACCTCATGATATCTTATTGAGGCTGGGAGCATTTGAGGTCTGAGATTTTCTGGTATGCTCAAGGCCAGAGCAGCAACATGCATCCTTTCAAAATAAGGCAAGTTGTCACTTGTCTCTGGCCAGAATTGGTCAAGATCATGGGGTAGGTGATGAATGCTGCCGACGTCCCATGACACAGCTATTGATATGTGGCAAGGAGCCACTCATCTCTACTAAGAGATGGCATGTACCAGAGAGGGGCTGTGGGAGTAGATGACTGTCCACCAAGTAGTGTGTAATTCAAGGGATGTCTCAATGTCAAGAAGTTACCTTTGACGTCACAGATTGGCCAATGCCTTCATGTTATAGCAGACCATCATATTAGGAAAAGTCAGTCTTTCTAGATTGAATAAGGACAAGTCCAGGGTAAGCGACTACTCTAGAAACCTAACCTGTAATCTGAAGAAATGAAAAGTAAAATGTCCAGCAATAATACTTCGGGGGCCTTAAACCTCATATTTTCTTGAGCATCTTGTTTCCTGTTTAATTGTCACAGCTCAAATATTATGTTTTGCAAATGTATGTGGGGTGTATTTTATATGTTATACATATTAATTTATTTTCATTTATTCTGCTTGAAAATTTTTACATAAAATTAAAGTCTGTCATAATACTTTATCTTCTGTTTGTGGTTAGAGTAGGTGTCTTTACTTTCTTTATGATCTCTTTGTTCAGGTAAGAAGGGCTATACTGGAGTGAAATCATAACTTTAGTTACATCGTAACATTAGAAACGGGCACACTCTTGTAAACAACTGCAACAAATGGAGATTATGCTTACAGCATAAACCTCAGACTTGTGGGTATTTTCTTCTTTATGTTTTAATAAAAATACCGGAAAGGAAAGGTTTAAACTCACTAGAGTTATTTTGAGAAAATCGATTTCCATAAATATATTTTATTGCTCACTCATAAATTTATACTTCCCTTTCTCTCACTGCATAATTGGTTGGTTTCCTGCATACAGTTTAGCTCCATCGTTCATGTTTTGATAGGAATTTTATCCCTGGTATTTGTCTGTTCCAGCCATTCTTTCTTTCTTTTTTTAATTCATGAAGCCTTTTTAAAAATTATTTAATTTTATTTTTATTTTAAGTTCTGGAGTACATGTGCAGGATGTGCAGGTTTGTTACATAGGTAAAAGTGTGCCATGGTGGTTTCCTGCACCTACCAACCCATCACCTAGGTATTAAGACCAGCGTGCATTAGCTATTTTTCCTAATGCTTTCCCTCCCCATGCCCTCACCCCCCACAACAGGCCCCAGTGTGTGTTGTTCCCCTCCCCGTGTCCATGTGTTCTCATTGTTCAGCTCCCACTTACAAGGGAGAACATGTGGTGTTTGGTTTTCTGTTCTTGCATTAGTTTGCTGAGGATAATGGCTTCTAGTTCCATCCATGTCCCTGCAAAGACATGATCTCTTCCTTTTTATGGATGCATAGTATTCTATGGTGTATATGTACTATATTTTCTTTATCCAGTCTATCCTCGATGGGCATTTGGGTTGATTCCATGTCTTTGTTATTGTGAATAGTGCTGCGATGAACATACACATGCATGTATCTTTATAATGGAATGATTTATATTCCTTTGGATATATTCCCAGTAATGGACTTGCTGGGTCAAATGGTATTTCTGGTTCTAGAACTTTGATGAATTGCCACACTGACTTCCACAATGGTTGAACTAATTTACATTTTATATTTACTATTCTAATTTACTATTTTCTAATTTACTATTTCTCTACAACCTCACCAGCATTTCTGGTTTCTTGACTTTTAATAATTGCCATTCTGACTGGCATGAAACGGTATCTCATTGTGGTTTTGATTTGCATTTCTCTCACCATCAGTGAAATTGAGCTTTTTTTCGTATGTTTATTGGCCTCATGAATGTCTTCTTTTGAGAAGAGTCTTTTCATGTCCTTTCCCCACATTTTAATGGTTTTTTTTTCTTGTAAATTTGTGTAAGTTCATTGTAGATTCTGGATATTAGACCTTTGTCAGATGGATAGATTGCAAAAACTTTCTCCCACTCTGTAGGTTGTCTATTTGCTCTGACGATAGTTTCTTTTGCTGTGCAGAAGCGCTTTCATTTAGTTAGATCTCATTTGTCAATTTTTGCTTTTGTTGCAATTGCTTTTGGTGATTTCATCATGAAATCTTTGCTTGTGCCTATGTCCTGAATAGTATTACCTACATTTTCTTCTAGGCTTTTTACAGTTAGTGTTTTACATTTAAGTCTTGAATCTAACTTGAGATAATTTTTGTATAAGGTGTAAGGAAGAGGTCCAGTTTCAATTTCTTGCATATGGCCAGCCAGTTCTTCCAGCACCGTTTATTAAATAGGAAATCCTTTTCCCATTGCTTGCTTTTGTTAGGTTTGTTGAAGATCAGATGGTTGTAGATGTGCAGTCTTATTTCTTAGTTCTCTATTCTGTTCCATTGGTCTATGTATCTGTTTTTGTACCAGTAGCATTGGTCAGCCATTATTTTAGTAAAAAGCTGAAGCTCTTCACTACCTGAAGAATAAAATCCAAAATTCTTAGTATGGCATTCAAGGCTTTCCAGAAGCTGGCACGAAACTGTTTTTCTAATTTTTCTTCTGCTCCAGTATTTCTTCCCAGTTTCCTTCCACTTCTTTCACAGTTCCCATCATTCTTGCATTCTTTGTTGTCTCTGTGTACAATAGCTTTTTTTTTGGTACAATTTTATAACACTATAGTTAGGGGAGTGTATATCCACCTACTTATGTTACTGGTGGCTTCTGTGTCAGGAAATAATCTATAACCTACCTACTTATTCTTTTGATGTAGATGACCTACCCATTCACCTTTTTAAAGAATGTTTGTAAATTGTGGGAAAATATACATCATATAAATTTTGCCATCTTAACCATTTTTAAGCATTACAGTATAGTGCCATTAAGTACATTTACACTGTTGTTCAATCATCACTACCATTCATCTCTAAAATACTTTTGTCATTCCATAATGAAACTCTGAACCTAGAAAACAATAACTTCCCATTCTCCCCTTCTCCCAGGCCCTAGCAAATTCTACTTCCTGTCTTTACGAATTTAACTACTCTAGGTACTTCACATACGTGGAATCATACAGTATCTGATATTTCACTTAGCATAGTGTCTTCAAGTTTCATCCATGTTGTAGCATGTATCAGAATTTCATTACTTTTTAAGGTTGCATAATATTTCCTTGTGTGCACAAAGCACAGTTTGTTTAATCATTCATCCATTGGGGGAAATTTGAGCAGTTTTCATCTTTTGGCTATTAGGAATAATGTTGCTATGAACATTGGCATACAAATGTCTATTGAAGTCCTGGCTTTCAAATTTTTTGTATGTGAGTAGAATTTTAGAATCAAATTATACTTCTACATTTAATTTTTTGAAAATCATAATTTTATAAAATCATACTGTTTATCATAATGGCTGTCTGAACTAGGTAACATTTCAGCCAACAATGCACAAGGCTTCCGATTTATTCACATTCACGCCAACACTAATTGTTTTTCTTTTCCAGTAATAGCCATTCTAATAGATTTGAACTTGTATCTCATGATTCTTATTTATATTTCCCTAATGATTAGGGATATTGAGCATCTTTTCACATGCCTATTGGCCACCTGTATGTCTTCTTTAAAGAAATGTCTATTCAAGACCCTTGGTCATTTTTCAAATGGGTTTTGTTTTTTGTTGTTGAATATTAATTATTCTCTATATATTCTGGATATCAATCCCTTATCAGATATGTGATTTGCAAATATTTTCTCTCATTCTGTGAGTTGCCTTTTCAATCTGTTAATTAGTGTGTTTTGATGCAAAACGTTTCTAATTTTGATGAAGTCCAATTTATTAATATTATTTTCCTTTCATTGCCTGTGCTTTTGTGTCTTATCCAAGGAATAATTGCTAAATCCAGTGTCATGGAATTTCCCTCCTATTTTTTTTTCATATAAGAGTTTTATACTTTAACTCTTCTGTTTAGGTCTTTGGTCTATTTTTAGTTAATTTTGTTATTGGACTTAAGGGAAGAGACCAACTTCATTCTTTTGTATGTGGACGTCCAGTTTTCCCAGTGCCATTGTTAAAAATATGGTCTTCCTTTTTAAATGAATTTGGTATTCTTGTTAAGAATTATTTGACCACATCTTCAAGGGTTTATTTCTTTTTTTTTTTTTTTTATACTTTAAGTTTTAGGGTACATGTGCACATTGTGCAGGTTAGTTACATATGTATACATGTGCCATGCTGGTGCGCTGCACCCACTAACGCGTCATCTAGCATTAGGTATATCTCCTAAAGCTATCCCTCCCCCCTCCCCCCACCCCACCACAGTCCCCAGAGTGTGATATTCCCCTTCCTGTGTCCATGTGATCTCATTGTTCAATTCCCACCTATGAGTGAGAATATGCGGTGTTTGGTTTTTTGTTCTTGCGATAGTTTACTGAGAATGATGGTTTCCAATTTCATCCATGTCCCTACAAAGGACATGAACTCATCATTTTTTATGGCTGCATAGTATTCCATGGTGTATATGTGCCACATTTTCTTAATCCAGTCTATCATTGTTGGACATTTGGGTTGGTTCCAAGTCTTTGCTATTGTGAATAATGCCGCAATAAACATACGTGTGCATGTGTCTTTATAGCAGCATGATTTATAGTCATTTGGGTATATACCCAATAATGGGATGGCTGGGTCAAATGGTATTTCTAGTTCTAGATCCCTGAGGAATCACCACACTGACTTCCACAATGGTTGAACTAGTTTACAGTCCCTATTTCTGAGTTCTCTATTCTCTCCTATCTGTGAAAATCTCTGTATTTATGCAAGTGCTGCGCTGTTTTGATTACTGTAGCTATATAGTAAATTTTGAAATCAGAAAGCACGAGTCCTCTAACTTTGTTCTTTTTCAGCATAGTTTTGGCTATTTAGGATCTCTTGAGATTCCATACATATTTTCAAATGGATTTTTTTCTATTTCTACAAAAAAATTGGTATTTTGATAGGGATTGCAATGAATTTGTAGGTAGCTTTAGGTAGTATTGATAGCTTAACAGTAGTAAGTATTCAATTCATAAATACAGCATGTCTTTTCATTTACTTGTGTTCTTTGATTTTTTTCAGTAATGTTTTATAGCTTTCTGTTTACAAGTTTTTATCTGTTTGGTTAAGTTGATTCCTAAGTTTTTTGTTTGATGATATTATAAATGAAATTTCTTTCTAAATATTCTTTTCTGATTATTAATTTTTAGCTTATAGAAATACAACTGATTTGTTTGTTGGTTTTGTGCTCTGCTTGATACATTACTGAATTTCTTTATTATAACGGTTTTTGTGAACTCTTCAAGGTTTTCTACATATAAGATTGTATTATCTGTGAACAAAGATAATTTTACTTTTGGATACCTTTTATTTATTTTTCATGCCTAATTGCTCTGGCTAAAACATCTAATACTATGCTGACTGTAAGTGTTAAAGCAAGCATCTTTGTCTTGTTCCTGATCTTAGAAGTAAAGTTTTCAGTTCTTCCACACTGAGTGTGATGTTGTTTGTAGGTTTTTCATATGTGGTCTTTATTTTGTTGAAGTACTTTCCTTTGTTCTCATTTTGTTGAGTGTTTTTATCATGAGGGATATTGAAATGTATAAAATGCTTTTTCTGTGTCTATTGATATTCTCATGCTTCACCCTTTTATTCTGTTAATGTGGCATATTACAATAATTTATTGTCATATGCTGAACCATCCTGTATCTCAATAAATTTCACTTGGTTATGTTGTATAATCACTTTAATATGCTGCTGAATTCAGTTTTCTAGGATTTTACTGAGGATTTTTACATAAATGTTTATAACATATATCTTATAATGTCTTGTCTGGCTTTGGTATCAGGGTAGTCCTGGCCTCATAGAATGAGTTAGAAAGTGTTCCCTCTTCTTTAGAAGAGTTTGGAGAGAACTGTTGTGATTTCTTCTTTAAGTATTTGGTAGAATTCACCAGTGAAGCCTAGGTCTAGGGTTTTTCTTTGTCAAAAGGTTTTTGATTGTTAATTCAGCACCCGCCCCCCGCCCCCCACCGCCCCGCACAACTAGTTAGATGTATTTGGATTTTCTATCTCTTTATAATTTATTCTTGGTATATTTATATGAATTTCACATTTTGTCTAGATTAGCCAATTTGTTGACATACAATTGTTCCTAATACTCTCTTATATAGATTTGGTAATTATATCCCTACTTTCATTTCTGACTTTAGTTACTTGAGAGTAAACATGACACTTTGTAAAAATATTTAGCCAGATAGGATATTAGACAGGACAAGAGACTGGAAGGGAAAAATAAGACACATTTAGTTCTGAATTTTTGTCTGCTCTCAGGCAAAATAGGTGATGAGCATCCCCAACACCTATATCCAGGTACATGTCCCCAAACAGGAATCTTCAAACCCAAAAGTGAGATGGATCAGAGGCTAGTGTTGTTCATGATCTGTGTGTTACTGTGGTCAGCTTTTGTCACTGAAATATTGTGACTTGAAATCATGGTTTTTTCCCTCCAGTATTATCTTCTCAAGTATTTTGAAGGCAACGTATATGGTTGAGACAACCCATGAGGTCCCCTGGATAGATTACTGGTAATTTTTGAAAGAGGAAAACATGAAGGAGACTTCAGTTTTTCCTTTTTTTCTCCATAGATTCCCATTTTTATTTCCTGTTTGTATTTCACAGAGCACTAAGAAGGCATCAGTGAAACGCCTAATAAATACCTAGTATTTCTCAAAATCAAAAGTTTCACAACTCAGCACTCCAGGAAGTCTGATTTCATTGCTTGTTTATATGTTTTTCTCCCTTTTACCTTAACCAAAGCTGCCTTTTGCCAAATTTGAATGAAATTTGCCCCTCATAGGATTTCAGCTTGAAACTGAATTAAGAAGCCGGAAAGACTTAAAATAAGCAAGTGTTTTAAATGCTACACAATGTATCTATTTTTTTAAGTGGAAGTTTCATAGTATTTAAAGCCAGGTATATAAAACAAATTGCAACACATTTCCTCAAGCAACCACTTAGAGATCATACCAAATGAACTTAAAAAATATGTTTAATGAGTAACATGGAATGTGCTTAAATGATGCAATTTATCAGATTTTTTTTTCAGATAAACTTTCTACCAGCTTCCTCCAGTACAAAACACTTTTTATTTTCTTTTTAAAGCACCAAACTTTATTCCTTTCCCCGCCACCTCCCTTTTTTTTTAAAGCTCTTTCAGGTGGTGGAAGGTCTGAGGATCATTTGCACTAATTATTTTTAGTTCTTCCTCACGTAACACCTGAAGAGGACATTCTATTTATGGGAACCAAATTACTTAAAAATATTTCCAAGCTCTTTAAGCAGAGGTCAGTACACACATTAGCTGGGGGCAAAAGGAATATTCAAGCCTAGGCATCCCTTTTGAATTCACAGCTGGGATTTATGCAGCTCCATGCTGTTGGCCTGGTCCCCTTGGTTACCCTCCACCTTGCTCATAATATCCAGACAGCATGTCAGGGCCCATCTCATCTCCACATATCAATAGATGTTTGTGGAGGATCAGCTGTTCCCATGGTACCTGGGCTCCGGGATTTGTGTTGGAATGTGCTGTGTTTCCCAGACTCTAGGTTCTCAGCAACTGCTCATATACCATCTCGAGTCTCTGCACCTACTGAGTCTTTCCAGGATTTTGTGTTGCTGCACTGACAATTTTCACACTCTTGGGTCCTAACCCCCGATTACAAGCTGTGGGGATTAAGAAATTCCTCCCTGAGACCTGGTTGCACTTGCCTTAATTGCCCATTTGTTCTTCTCTGGGTTGATTTTTATTTTTCCTCCCCTTTAGGGTAATTTTGAAAGAAGCTCTAGTTATTATTTTCCTCATTCTAAATAATTGTGATAAAACTTTTGAAACTGCACTACTTCTACTGGAGAAAAGATAGAACTTTATTATCTTGCAGGAAAAGACCACCTTGCATGCTTTTCATCTTATTTTCTTGACTAGGGGTTTAATATCATTTAAAAATCCCAAACTGGATCGCCATGATCTCATGTAACAGTAAATATAGTGTAGAAATATTTTTGAATACAATGATGGATACAATGTAAATAATAAGACATTTGAAACAAGCATTTTATTAAAATAAAAACGCTTACCTGGAATCATGAATACACTTTTGAGATGGTTACTTATATAAGAAATATTTAACTCCTCAATTTTAAAAACATGTATATTGTGTGATAGTGCTTCGGTTTAAGTCTGAAATATGAATTTAAAAAAGAAGAATAAATAAAGAAGAAAATTTGGGAAAAAAAGACCTAGATTTAATATAATTAGCATGGGAATTGCTGAAAATAGAGATTCCCAATTTGGACCCTTGGTAGAGTTAATTTACTAGACAGGAAAGAAGAAGACAAAAATAAAATAGAACAAAAAACTGAGATGCCCGGATACATTTAAATTTTAGATAAAAATAATTTTTAAGTGTACGTTCTAAATATTATGGAACATACTTGTATTTTTTTTCACTGTTTATGTAGAATCCAAATTTAATTCAGTATCTTGTATTTTATCTGTCAGTTTTAATCACTAGAGACTTCAGTTCAGTCCTGGTGGGTGGGGGCCAAAACTGGTGTACTTTTTATAAGCTAAACTCTGCATGAATTCTAATGAGAAGCCAGGTTAGAAAACCACTAGCTTATTGTTTCAAAATGGAAGACACACGCACGCATGCGCACGTGCACACACACACACGCACACTTAAAACAGACACAATGGTGATCCCAAAGTCTGTGCTCCTGGTAGATTCATTCTGCAAATGAAAAAAATATATATTATCTGAAGTAAAGAGAGGAATCAAAATTCACCTGATTTTGCCATGAGGATCCTGGTACAGGAGGCAAAATACTCATGCATTTTCCAAATTACAGAATGTGCTACAGACTGACAGAGTTATTCATCATCATCATTGTTTTGGCTGGCTACCTTAAAATTTTGTTGTCAAACATTGTTGGTTACCATTGGATATTCTTGTTAACTTTTATGATTGATAGTGAGTTACCATGAGGTTACAAGTAAAACCCAACATATTATATGTAGTCAACTAGCTTTTAAAAACAGACTACAAGAGAACACATAGCAATTAATTTAACCTTAACATAAATTAGTTGATTTAATTGATTCACTATATATCTATTAAGTGCTTGGTATGTTGAAAAGCTGGGGATAAATTACAAATTAGATAGAGCCCCAACTCTCCAGGCACTTAATGGTTTAGAATCACAAGAGTTTCCTGCAGGACTTTAAGTCTCACATGACATGTTGATTATCATAGAATTTTATATACAAAATGCCAGAGTAGCAGAACACCTGGTTTAAAGAAGCTTTCTCATTAAAAAAAAAAAAAAGAAGAAGAAAATAAAAAAAAGTCCTCTACATTTTAAAATGTAGCAGCCTTAATATAAAGCTTCAGAAAGGAGAAATCCTTTTATGCACTTTTGAGGCTGCATGGTTTGGGAAAAGGAAGATTACTTTAAAGTTCTTTGTAATTACTGGATTTATTTAATGAAGAACTAGTTACAGCATTTAGTACTACATGACATGTTTTTGTTGGTCATTATCATATAAAACTTTTTCTAGATTCTTTTTTTCTGTTGGAGTATCCATTGTAAGCATTGTAATATGGAAGGGCTGTGCTACGTGATGTGAGTCACACTCATCGGGACAGGTGGGGGAACTGCAGGCTCCTTGGTGTAGAAGATCCAGCTCAGTGTGCAGCCATTTCAGGAAGACTTTTCTGACCACCCACTTTGAGCTCTCCTTTTTTAAACATCCATACTACTTCTCACTGGACTAGCTAATGTTCCAAAAATCTCTTATTGATGTTAAAGTCTGGCAGTTCAGAATAATATTTGGGAGTGAGGAGGAGCAAGTACCACATTATAGTCATGTTTTGAATTTCCCAGAGAGCCTCCTTCATCTAGATGTGGTCCCTGAGTCTTCTATCACCTGAGTGTTTGACCTGGATGTCACTTTGAAGATCATAACACAGAAGTAAGCCTTGTGGAAGCAAGTGCCTTTCACAGCACCATGGGTGTGCCCTGAGAAACAGAATACAAGGTAAAACCTCAATGTGCCAGGATGAGTGAGGATTTAGGGGTAATTATTCTTTCTGGTTCACTGGAAAATGTCTTTCTGAAAATTAAATCTATTACAATATGAAAGTTGCTTTGCTTACTATTCTGGCTTGTACAAAGAAGACTAAAGCGGAGCACCTGCTCTCAAAGATCAGATAATTCAGGTGAGGAGTTAAGGCAAATGTGAATGAAAATTTAACTAACAAGAGAGTTAATTAGGCAGCATGGGAAGGCGATGTCTTTTCTGAAAAAGAGATATTGAAGGTTAGCTTCCCATTTTCTACAGCAGCTTATTTCCCTGCACTGATAAATAAGAAATGGTAAATATAATTGGGTCATTCTTTCAATATAATATCCTGTGGCATATTAGGTCAATAATACCAATAATAACAACAGCCACTTATAGAGTGCTTAATACTTCTCAGTTTAATAATAACTTTTGTAAATTAACAATTTAATCCTCCCAACAGTCCAGTGAGCCAGGAGCTATTACCCCCATCTTTTGGAAAAAGAGAGGTTAAATAACTTGCCCAAGTTTACACAGCCATTAGGTAGCTGAGCCAAGCTGGCTCCAAAGCCCATGCTTAATAATGATTTCATTCTGCCTTCTTTGCTTCTGTGTATCAACTCTTATTGTGCCTTCTAAAAATATAAATTCCAGAAAATTTTACCTCTTCTTTTGTCTCTTTATGCTATAGTCAATTGAAAGGAAGAACATCTGGTGAGTAGAAGGTTCTTACAAGAAACACTCTGTTTCTAGGTAATTGAAGTTTTATGTCAGTGAGGCTGAGAGAGTACCTAGGCAAGGTCAGTTTATATGAGATGGAAGCAAAACAAACTTTAATGTCGCCTGACAGTCCATGGGCAACAGAAGAGGTTTTCTGAGATATCAGAAGAAAGTACAGCTTCGTGGAGGAAACAGAAGAAAGTACAGCTTCGTGGAGGAAAATGCACAATCTTATTAGGAAAGAGGCATTTCTCTGTGAAGACTCAAGATGATTTCTGTGTGGAAGAATTATACTGTTAATAACAAATAGGGGAAGCAGTGAGCTGTCTCCGGCTTTGTAACATCTGTTATAACTGCACCTGCCTCAAAGATTTCCTGGTTCCTATTCCCAAGAGAAAGTCAGTCAGCAGGAAATGAGGCAAGTGCACAATGACTTTACGGGAAAAAGATGGCTTTTGACTTCTCCTTGGGCTTAATTCCTGACAATATTGCATATTCCCCTTGTTGTTGATAGTACTTTACAAGGCAGTGGTTTGTAAAGTGAAAGATGGGAAGGAAGAAAGGGACCTATGCTTGGAAACAGTTTTTATGGAACACAGGAATGTCATAGGGCACGGGTCAATTGGGTGACATCAATACATCTGGCTGTTAGTCCTTGCTCTGACTGAATGGGTAATACACGGAAACAAAACATATTCCTACTCACCACAACAATTCAAAGGCTCACACCTGTGTCTCCTTTCATTCTCTAATGTAGTGATTCTTAGATTCCCAAACTTTAGAGTGAATCAGGATCACCTGGACGGCTTGTTTAACCACACATTGCAGGACCTGATGTAGTTTCTAACACAATGTGTCTGATGTGGTACCTAGGAATCTGTATTTCTGCAAGTCCCTAGGTGAGGCTGAGGCTGCTGGTCTGGGGATTACATTTGAGAATTATTGCTGTGATTGATTTAAACAGAAATCTCCCATTCTTATTATTCTTGGGCCTCTCTCTCATCAGGATGATCCAGTTCCCAGGGATTTTCACCATTTCTTCCTATCAGGACGATTGAGCAGAATCTGCCCCTCACTTCTCCACCGAAGTCCCAGCAGCAGCCTCAGCATTTATCTCCAACTTGGATGAAATTAATTAAGTTACATTCAAGGGGTTCCAGAGAGAAGTTGAGTGCATGTAGCCTGCCTAAGCTAGTACAATGGAGCAGGCATTTCCCCAAAGGCCTCACTATATTGGATGGACATCATGTTTTACATCAATTTTCCTGGAGTAAATCTGCTGCAGATGAAATGCTAACATTGTCCACTGTTAGTATATGAAGGCTTGGGGAAGGACATTAGCTCCCCCTTATCCTTGATTTTGTTTCTTACACTTGCAGTTACCCACACTCAACTGTGGTCTGAAAATATTATGACCTTTATGAAAAAGTTCACAAATAACAATTTATAAGTTTTAGATGGAACACTGTTCTGAGTAGCATGATTCCTGCTTCCATCTCACCCCTAATGTGACTCATTCCTTTGTCCAGCATATCTGTGGGGTATATGTTCCCCACCTGTTAGTGCTGGACATCGTCTGCTCCTGACATCCAATCAACATCAACATGGCTTGACGATCCAGGATCACCCGAAGCAAATGGTCCTCCGACTGGAGAATCTTCAGAAAGTCAACTGTAGCCTAACGCTATGTCACAATGCCTATGTCATTCACCTCACTTCATCGCATCACGTAGGCATTTTATCATCTCATACCATTACAACAAGATGAAGGGGAAGTACAGTACAAGAAGATATTTTGAAAGAGAAAGACCACATTCACGAAACGTTTATTACATTATATTGTTGCAATTTTCTATTTTATTACCAGTTATGATTGTTAATCCTTTGTGCCTAATTTATAAATTTGTTAATGGTTAAGTATATATAGGAACAAGCATACCATATATAGGGTTCAGTACTATCCTTAGTTTTAGGGATCCACTGGGGATAAGGGGGAACTACTGGACCTAACCTTATGCTTACGTGAAGAGCCCCTAAGGTCACTTGCACACAGAAGCTATTTAAAAATAGTTGTTACAATTAGGAGCCCCCTGGAATATAATATGTGTGGCATCACTTAAAGAAGTAAAAAGAAAGGATAATTTTTATTTCCCTTTATATTTAGTAAAATATTTCTCTACAATATTATAATTATAATATTTATGGCAAAATTACATTAATAATTTTCACATAATTTTAAAAAGTGAAATATCTACATGTAAGGCAATACAATATTATGATTATTTAAATATTTAAGCAAAATATTTTCTGTTCATATAATATAGTCACACGCTGCATAACAACGTTTGGGTCAATGATGGAACGCCTATAAGATGGTGGTCACATAAGATTATAGTACTCTATTTTCATTACCTATGTCTAGACATGTTTGGATACACTGATACTTACTATTGTGTCACAATTATATATGGTATTCAGTATAGTAGCATGCTGTACAGGTTTGTAGCTTAGGAGCAATAAGTTATAACATGTAGACTAGTGTAGTAGGCTATGCCACCTAGGTTTGTGTGAGCATTCCGTATGATGTTTGCACAATGATGACAAAATCACCTAATGACACATTTCCCGTAAGGAATTCCTTTTATTAAGCAATACATGACTGTACTAATATAATACATATACTCTGTTGATATTTAATATTTCATCAGATATCAATATATCATAAAATATATAATTAAACATATAATAATGTATTAATTATATTTGATTATTATATGCAAAGTCATTTTAAAAAGTAAAATATGTAAATGCAAAGCATACAGAAAATATATAAAAATATTACATGTACCACGTGTGTTCATGTTAATAAGCAAATTGTTGAAAGTTAATATCTCTATATTCAAGATATAGCTATTAAATATGTAATACATAACATTAATACACATTACACATGTAGTATTTTATTTATTATTTCTAAACTGTCACTTGTTTTATTACTCATATCTCAGTCTGTTCTGCCACATTGGTGTTAGGAAAGTTATTGCCAATCTTATTGGGATGACAACTGAAATCAACAAATATCAATGGATAATGGGATGTTTACTGCATTTCCTCAGTACAGTAAAGAATGAAAATCCTAGTCTTGGGTATATATTCAGTGTTTTTCTTTAAATATATGTTTTAGAAGGGGGCAATAATTAACATTACGTTTTATTTCTAAGGTGGATACTAACTACAAAGGTCATAAGCACCATAAGCATTCACATTTTCAAGAAATACCAAGACATGTTCTCAGGGACAGGAAGATGGACTTTCCAGGAGTCAAAATTTTAATGACTGTCTTCCCTCTGCATGGATGTTTCCTCAGGCTGCCTTTTGGTTACTTCTTCCAGGTGGATGGTTCCAAGAGACTGTGTAGGGGGTTATATAAGTTTGCTTGGGCTGCCATAGCAAAATACAACAGACTGAGTGACTTAAGTAACAGAAATGCATGTTCTCACCGTTCTGGAAGCTGGAACGCCAAGATCAAGGTTCCAGCAAGGGTGATTTCCTGTGGGGACCCCAGGGGACGGGTCTGCTTCCACACCTTTCTCCTTGGCTGGCTGGACTCTTGCTGCCTCCTCAACATGCTTATCTACCCCTCTGTGCACAGCTCTCCTGGCATCTTTTCCTTTCCTTCTAAAGATGCCAGTCAGGTTGGCCTTACTCTAAAGGCCTCATTTTAACGTAATCACCTCTTTTAGAATCTTATCTTCAAATACTGTCACTTTCTTAAGTACTGCAGCTTGAGAGTTTAACACATGAATTTGGGGACACAGTTCAGGCCATAATAGTGGTAGTGGAGGAGTAAAAATCATATAGATAGAACAGCTGGCTTCACTTCCGACTTTTCTTGCAATTATAACTCAGAAAATGGCGTATAACTCAGGCAGCACATATTCTGTTTTTGATGCCCCAAACATTTCCAAAGAGAGTACAGTGGAGAGGAAAGTATGCTGACTGCAAATAGATAGCTTTTAGTCTTGGATTTATAATCTATAGGCTGTGTGACCTTATTCTGTTTAATTAACTTCTCTGAGACTCGGTTTCTCCCTGGGTAAAATAAGACTATTAATCGTTTGCTACAAAACAGGGTTGATCTAGTGAGAGAACATTCTTAAAAATATCTAAAAATTCTAATATTCAATTTAGAGCTTAGGAATAAATTTTATTAGTTTACTTTTTAAAATTCTTTTGAAAATGTGACACATGTACATGGTAATAAAAAAAATTCAAACAGTACAAAAATATACACAGTAAAATCTTGGTCTCCCACCTCCCATCACTGGGCTCCCATTCCCAGAGTTAACTGCCTGTTAGGTGCTTCTTGTTCATTCTTCCAGAATGAGTCAATGTGGATATGCATAAATGTATATTTTCTTTTTATTTACACAAATATGATAGCATGCTGTACACATTATTCTACACCTTGCGTTTTGCCCTTAATATGTCTTGGAGGTTAGCCCATGCCTATACATATGAAACCAACTCACTCTTTTTAACCAGTTGCATAGTAGTACTTGTATGGCTGCACTATCAATAAAAAAAATATGCTCTGTGGATGGGCCATAGGTTATTCTTTAGATTTTTGCTGTAGTGAACTTGAAAAAAATACTGCAGTGAGTATTCTTCAACATGTGTCTTTATGTACACATATGTGTATTTGTAAGATAAATTCCTAAAATAAATATTTTACTCAAAAAATATCTAAAAATACCCTGGAAAGCCTCTATATACAATCAGGCTTTAAAGAAACTGAAGGGATTATTATAATCATCACTGTGTGTTTGATTTTAAGTGATTGCCCATTTAAAACGCTTGAAGAATTAAATAGAGCCACGTTTAAATCAGTCACCATTCATAGACTGTTCTCTGTGCACATGACTTTTTCCATAGGGGTTGGTAATTAACCATTGGTTCAATATTCATTAGTGAATAGTTTTAGATTAGTTTCTGTCAGTTACAAGTCTTGCTAGGACTATATAATGGATGATACCAATGTTTATTTTGGCAAAATATTAAAGTATAAGACAAACATAATAAATATCTTGGTGTTTATTTTTTCCTTAGTGGGAGCACCATAAGCTGTTTTTTACCCATCTTCAGATGCCATGCGCTGAGCATTTTTATTTGCTATTGGCAGATCCTACCTGCTTTCCTGGTTTCCTTCATCATTCTTTCCTTTCTCGGTTTTCCTTACTCCTGCCTCTCTTCTTCAGCTTCTCTCTTCTCCCATCTCTCCCTTCTTACCCTATCCACTCTCTCCTTTCTCCAGTCTCCCTTCTCTCTAATCTTTTCCATTTTCTCTCGCTTGTCCTGTCTTTTCTCTCCTCTTATGTCTTCCCTTTTCACCCTACCTTTCTTCTCTTCTCTCAAAACAACATCTTTTTAAAAGATAGATTTTCAATTCTTTTTACCGTAGTATAAACATGTTTTAAATATAAAATACCCGATCAGGTGTTTTCCCTGAATTCAACAACTATTTAAATAACACCTGCGATTTACATATATTTAAATAAATGTCTCCAGCAACCCCTAGTGGAATGGTAGGCATCAGGGAATAGATGTGGAAGGACTTTGCAGTTGCCGCAAGGCTTTCCATGTGGTTAAGTTCATATTACCAGCAGACATCAACTCTATCAATTCAAAAGTTCTCCTGCAGCCAGGTGAGTTAAAACTTTTGTGAAATTTCTACACTGTTTCAATATATTAAAAATACTCTATCTCAGTGAGAGTGGAGGGAGGAAGTTTCAAGTGTCAGCTGGCAGACATGACAGAAATGAACAGTCTCAACCTACTCAACAGTTCTCAAACCTACTGGTATAGGACCAAGCCAGAATTTTAAGCTTAAAACACAGATTATCAGCACCCCTCATATCTTAGGCACATGTTTGTTTTCTCCAAAGCATTTCTTGCCATATTAATTTGAGCTTTATAAAATTAAAATCTCTCAGCACTGAAATCAGCATTGCAGATTTTCCTATTATTCTGGTTCTTTGTAGGAAATGAACAGTGAAGAACCATCTCAGCTTGTCAGAAAACAATATTCCCAACTCTCCGCTTCAGCTTTTTGGATTTCATCCTATGTACAAAATAGCATAATTAACATTCACTAAAAATTTCTTAAATTACAGGAGAAATATGGCTTAACACTTCTTGTCTAGCCCAAAGAAAATAATTGGTATCCGAATAAAGTCATCATTAAAAGTAATAAATGTGCAAAGCCTGGAAAAATCATTTTGAATATTTCAAAACAGGACAAAACAGGAAAATGTCTGGTTTCGCAGCATTATTTAACAAACACACACTGTCTGTTCAGGAGACCTGCACCTCCTCAATCATGAATTAAACATTGTCTTGTGATGTACCTTCTAATGATGGTATAATCCATGACTTCCAGGTGTGGTTTCAGAAAGAATTTTAAAGCAAAGCTTTGTATAGTTCTAAATGCTACACATATTAATTACCAGGTTTATCTTGAGAAACAGGTGAATAAGAAAAGGCAAAGTTGCATGAGATCCTCAGACTGGTAAAACGAACCATTCCTGAAGGCAAACAAGAATGCTGCTGCTTTGATGGGCACGGGCGATCTGTTCTGTACACATTAAAGGCAGCATCAGGGCACATGCTAGGTTAAATTTTGAAGTCATGGAATTGGATCATCATTTATTCCCTAGCTATCTCTTTCTATATGTTTCTGCATATGTTTCCACTTCAGATTTCTGTAGTCCTTTTTTCTTCTCTCTTTGCCTACTCACATATGTAAATTTGTTCTCATGGCTATTGGCATCTCCTATGTAAAAATGGAATTTCAGGTATCAATCCCAGGAAAAGTACTATTGATATCTCACTATCCAATAACCATGGCACTTCTACTTGTCAACATCCCTGTAGAAATGGTATATCACCATCAATATCACTACAATACTCGTATCTCCATTAAGGTATCCATATTCACACCTACTGCCGTAAGTCTACAGAAGTGAGTTGTCTCTGTAAAGGACCTTGCAGCAACCTCATTTTTATTCTATCTATAGACAGTCTAACTGCTTGTTGGTTAAAAAAATAAAGAAATGGATAAAATATAACTATGTGTCTTTTCAGAGTGTCATAGCCTAAGCAATCCTTTACATAGTAATTCCAAAATTAAAATTTATATCTAGCTCTTTATATCTCTGTGCTGAGTTTTATAAAATATAAATTTCAGAAATGGGAGGACTGGAAATAAGAGTAAAGGAGCTTTCATAAAAGCTTTAAAATATAGCAAAAATATGCACTGGACTGTCTTGAGTTTACCTGATTCAAATATCTGCCCATTGTTGCTCTAACTACACTTGCTATCGCCCATTATTTATCTTGCTTCAATTCTAAAGGTTGTGATTCAAAAATATCATTGAGCAATCTAGAAAGATGTAGGTGAATCATGTCTCAAAACTATTTCAGCTGTACACGTTTCTTTCAGACTGCAATGTCATTGAACTTTCATTCCACAATGTGTATACCACTACATTACATTTGGACAGTTGAATGAAAAATATTTCTCTTTCAAAGATTTGTTTTAAATTCTGACCCTTTTAATATGGTCTAAATCCTCTTTGCCTCAGTTTACTTTCCTATCAAATGGCCATGTTAGGTGAGGTGATATCTAAATTCCCTTTTAGCCATAATCATTTTGTGAAACTGCGTTGAATCAATTGTATTCTACAATAGCCCTGGTATGAGGAGAAGAAAGGAAATCTACACAATATAAGAAAGAGAACATGAAGTTACCAATGTCACCTTTCCTGGCTGTGCTGTCACAAGGATTTAGATTTGCCTATTCCAGACATGGGACACAGAGAGAACAGGCAGAAAATAAGGGTGAGGCCAGTACAAAGCTTATAAACCTACAGATATTTTCAACTTTTAAAAGAGTTCACAGAGCTAATATACATAGAAGCTTATTCAGATTGATGATTGTTGCATGGGAATCTATCACTCAGGTTTGGTATATTCCAGGTGAATATTTTCGAGGCCATTGTTTATCATCCTTCTTTATCAATTTTTGACCACTTAGTCATTTGGAATATCATGAGTTCTAATCCCAAGAGGCAAAAAAGTGAAGTGAGAGGTACATAATGTGCTATATAGACACAATAGAGTTTGTGTGTATGTATAGATATATATGTATGTACATGTAGAGTGTGTGTGTGTATACACAGAGTGTGTATACGTATACTACATATGTACACATATATATATATACATACATACACATACACTGATAACATGTACAAGCACTCTATAGACACTTACAGCTCCTGGTCAACAGCCTCTAAAACTATTAAGAGAAAATGTTGGAATCAATACACAAATAGAGTTGTAGGGCTTATCTCATGCTTTTCTGCACGTATACCTTAATTTCCCAGATTTTCGTATTCATTGTCCTTTAGCCTATTGTTAAGTCTGTGGAATATCTGCTTTTGCCTATGGGTAAGGTAAGGAAATGGCTACTTGAGAATAGAATAGGCTGGTTTTAAAATTATAAGTAACTTTTTCTACTTTATGGGAAATTTGTTTCACTGGGATTACATATAAATTTTTCTAAACCTGCTTGCCACCTCTTAGAGGATCTTTTCAGTGTAAAGACTGAAGGATCCTCTGGGATGGTCAAAAAAAAGGTGATCCTCTAAAACAAAGAGTGATTAGAAAGTCCAGATACAATAAACATACATGTACATGTGTCTTTAGAGTAGAACGATTTATATTCCTTTGGGTATGTACCCAGTAATGGCATTGCTGGGTCCAATGGTACTTCTGGTTCTAAATCCTTGAGGAACCTCCATGCTGTCTTCCACAATGGTTGAACTAATTTACATTCCAACCAACAGTGTAAAAGCATTCCTATTTCTCCACAGCACTATTTACAGTAGCAGAGACATGGAACCAACCCAAATGCCTATCAAAAATCAGCGGGATAAAGAAAATGTGTTATATATAAACCATGGAATACTACGCAGTCATAAAAAGGAATGAGATCATGTCCTTTGTGGGGACATAGTTGAAGCTGGAAGTCATCATCATCAGCAAACTAACACAGGAACAGAAAACCAAACACTGCATGTTTTCACTCATAAGTAAGAACTGAACAATGAGAACACATGGACTCAGAGAGAGGAACGACACACACTGGGACCAGTCGAGGGCTGTGAGGCAAGGGGAGGGAGAGCATTAGGACAAATAGCTAATGCATGTGGGGCTTAAAACCTAGATGAGGGGTTGATAGGTGCAGCAAACCACCATGGCACACATATACCTATGTAACAAAACTACGCATTCTGCACTGGTATCCCGGAACTTAAAGTAAAATTAAAAAAAAAAAAAAAAGAAAGAAAGAAATTCCAGACACAAATTGTGGATTTAGAAACCAGAGTAGGATAAGCCAGGAGAGAAGTTTAGTTTTGATGCAGTAAAAAACAAACTAGGAATTAATCCTTTAAAGAAGTATAAAAATAAATCGCGATCAAGGAACTCGCTGGAGTATAAATTGGCATAAGTAGATACTAAAGTCTGGTATTTTTATACTACCCAGAAAGCTATTATAATAATTCAAGTGAAGGGTGAATGACCACAATGTTGATTAAAAAAATAGATCTGTAGAAGATTACTGATAAAGTACACATGTGAAATCAACTGGTCCAGTGGCCTCTGCAATTATATGGAAAGCTTTATTCATACTATACACATCTATGTCTTTCTCCTGCTACTGAACATTTTTGATCTAGGTCAACAGTTCATGTTATAGAGACAGTGACTCAGAGAAAGTACGTAAGTTTTTGCAAATCACAGTGTTGCTTATGGCCAGGTGCAGTGGCTCATGCCTGTAATTCCAGCACTTTGGGTGGCTGAGGTGGGCATATTGCTTGAGACCAGGAGTTCAAGACCAACCTGGACAACATGATGAAAGCCCATCTCTACAAAAAATTAGCCAGGCATTTTGGCTCATGCCTGTAGTCCCAGCTACCTGGGAGACAAAAGTGGGAGGGTCAATTGAGCCCCGGAAGTTGAGGCTGCAGTAAGGGATTATAGCAACACTGCACTCCAGCCTAAGTGACAGAGTGAGACCCTACCTTAAAAAATAAATAAATAAAAATAAAAAATTTGTGAGACTCTACCTTAAAAAAAATTTGTTGCCTATGAACATACTGCGAGCAGCATAAAGACACTTGCATTGAACCATCCTGAACACACCAGGATTCCTTTCTTTGGAGAGGGAGAGTGTTTTCTCTTAAAGTCATAGAATTGGGAAGCCCTTTGAATCTTCCTGTATTATTTCTAAATCAAAGTTAAATACTATCACCTCCTTCAATTTTAAATGCACCTGCATGCCACCCAAATTTGTACATTCACACCACTAAATAACTGAAGGTTTTGAACTCTGCTTATGTGTAGGAAAACATAGTTATCCCCAGTAGCATCCCTTCTACTCTTTGAGAAAGTTGGGCTGAACATTTATTTATTTATTTATTTATTATTTTTAATTGATCTGAATCGGTTTATTCCTTCCCTCTGGCTCTGTGAAAGAAGTATATTTGTTTGTACAGTTTTTGTTAGGGTCCTTTTCCATATTTCCATGAAAATCTAGATGGTCTTTATTATCTACATTTAGAAAATCTCAAATGCTTTTTTCAGATGCAGCCTGGCAGAGTTTTGGTCCCAAGCAAATTTCAGGTGGCTGTGGCCTAAATATTGCATCTCATCTGACTGATTTGAGTTACAAACTAAACAGACTGTAAATGGAATCTTAAAAGTCTCATTAGAATATTGTCGGGGAACCCAGATTTGTTCTACTGAGCCTGCAAAAGAACTCCTGAACTCTTCCTCAGCTATCCATCAAAATAGATTATTATTCAATGAGGGGAGTGCAGGTATTACTCTGAAGAGTTGCAAAGGGAGCCATTTGATCCTAACAATAGAGGTTTATTACACACACTTGTATTTTGTGGTTAAAATCCCATCATACTTTGATTTGCTAAACCTCCTCAGTGTTTGGCTTCCAACTTGTTTTCTCCTACATCCTTGGAATCACCCCACAATCACTATTGTGAATAGTTCTACCACACCTAAAATTGTCTTTATTCTCCGGTAATACCTTCCTTCCAACTCTCTTCCCAAGCTCCCTTGCAACTCCCCACTGCAAAGCAACCAGTGATCTGTTTACTGTCTCTGTACATTGGTTGGCATTTCCTAAAATGTTACATAAATGGAATTACATGGTATGCATTTTTTTAATTTCCCCTTTTGCCTTATTAGCTCTAATTCTTTGTTTTGCTATTTTAGTGTTTGCTTTCAGGTTTATGGTAATATATCTTTACTTTCAAATCATTTTATACTACTTCACATATAGTACATGAATCTTATTATAATATACTTCATTTTTTCCCCTCCCAAGCTTTATGCTATTATTTATCATACCTTTTACTTATATAAATGTTATAAACCCCATATACATACTATTTTGTTGTGTTTAGACCATCAATATCTTGAGGGATATTTAGAGAACAAGTATTTTATATTTGCCCATGCAGTTACTATTTATAGTTTTCTTCTCCCTGTGGGGAGATTCATATTTCCATCTGGTTTTATATTTCTTCTGTCTGTAGGACTTTAACGTTTTTATAGTGCAGATCATCTGTTGATGAATTGGTGTTACTGTTTTCCACCATAACTAGGACCCCTGCATTTTTCCTTTTTATAAGAGGATTAGGGGGCAAACCCCTTTGAACTTCTCTGATGTGAGTTTCAGATCCAGTTTGGCTGGTCTTGGATGTCTGGTTCCCCACTTATATGCCAGTCTATATATGTATTCATGGTTTTCAGAATTTATTTACCTACTTTAATTTTCTTGACTTTTCATGTGAATTTTAAAGTCTGCTGGTTGCTGTTTACAAAATGGTTTACTTGAATTTTGACTGGGATTATATTGATTTTCTTGAACAAATATGAGAGTACTAACATCTTAATATTGAGTCTTCCAGTTCATGAGCAGAGTATAGCTCTTCACTTATTTAGGTTTTCTTTTATGTTTTTCATCAGTGTTTTGTAGGTTTTTATGAATGGATCTTATCTATATTTAGATTTATTCCTAAGTAGTTCAGTTTTGGGTGCTATTGTAAATAGCATTATTTTATTATTTTAGTTTCAGATTCCAAATGCTAATGCTGGTATATAGTAGTAATACATTTGACTTTGGTTGGTTAGTCTTATAACCTCTAAGACTGTGTAAAATTCACACATTAGTTCCAGGAATATTTTGTAGAGTCTTTGAAATTCTCTATATAGATAATCATATTATTCATGAATAAGGATAGATTCATTTCTTCCCTTCCAATGTATGCCTTTTATTTTTCCTTGCCTCACTGCACTAGCTAGAACTTCCAGGTTGGTATTGAATAGGAATGGTGAGAGAAGCCATTCTTGCCTTGTTGTAGAGCTTAAGAGAAGTCAATTAGTCTTTCGCCACTAAGTATTATGTGAGCTGTAGATATTTTCATACATCTCTCTTATTAGAATACAATAATTTATTTTGAAAGCATTGTTATTGTTAATATATGTGAATGTTTCATAAACAATGTGTGTTAGATTTTACTGTAGGCTTTTTCTCCATATACTAATGTATCAATTTTAATATGGTAAATTGCAATGAATGAATGGTGAATGATGAAGTCGCCTTGTATTCCTGGGGTAAACTCCACTAATTGTGATTTGTTATGCTTTTCATATATTACTAAATTTTATTTGTCAATATTTGTTATGAATGTTTGTGTCTATATTCATGAGCAATAAATGTTTATAGCAGTTTTTCCTTGTAATGCTCCGATCTGCTTTTGGAATTAGGATAATGCTGGCCTCATAAGATGATTTCAAAAGTATATCCTCTTCTTTCACTTTCTGGAAGAAGATGTGTAGATTAGTAGTATTTCTTTCTTAAATGATAGGTAGAATTTGTCGGTAAAACTACGTGGACCTGGAGATTTTTGTTTGTTTGTTTTCTTTTGTGTATTTTTCTTTTGGATAAATTTGAAACTACAATTCCACCAAAGACAATATACAAATGAACAGCATATATATGAAAAGGCGCACTGCCTCACTAATTGTCTCAATAATACAAATCAAAATCACAATGAAAAGCTTCTGGGAAGTTCAAACTGGGCGGAGCCCACCACAACTTGGCAAAGGCGTTGTAGCCAGACTGCCTCTCTAGATTCCTTCTCTCTGGGCACTGCATCTCTGAAAGAAAGGCAGCAGCCCCAGTCAGGGGCTTTTAGATAAAACTCCCATCTCCCTGGGACAGAGCACCTGGGGGAAGGGGCGGCTGTGGGCGCAGCTTCAGTAGACTTAAACATTCCTGCCTGCCAGCTCTGAAGAGAGGGGCAGATCTCTCAGCACAGCACTTGAGCTCTGCTAAGGGACAGACTGCCTCCTCAAGTGGGTCCCTGACCCCTATGCTTCCTGACCGGGAGACACCTCCCAGCAGGGGTCAACAGACACCTCATACAGGAGGCTCTGTCTGGCATCTGGTGGGTGCCCCTCTGGGACGAAGCTTCCAGAGGAAGGAACAGGCAGCAATGTTTGCTGTTCTGCAGCCTCTGCCGGTGATACTCAGGAAAACAGGGTCTGGAGTGGACCTCCAGCAAACTCCAGCAGACGTGCAGCAGAGGGACCTGACTGTTAGAAGGAAACCTAACAAACGTAAAGGAACAGCATCAACAAAAAGGATGTCCACACAGAAACCCCATCTGAAGGTCACCAACATCAAAGACCAAAAGTAGATAAATCCATGAAGATGAGGTAAAATCAGCACAAAAATGCTGAAAATTCCAAAAACCAGAATGCCTCTTCTCCTCCAAAGGATCACAACTCCCTGCCAGCAAGTGAACAAAACTGGATGGAGAATGAGTTTGACGAATTGACAGAAGTAGGCTTCAGAAGGTGGGTAATAACAAACTCCTCCAAGCTAAAGGAGAATGTTCTAACCCAACGCAAAGAAGCTAAGAACCTTAAAAAAAGGTTCGAGGAATTGCTAACTAGAACAACCAGTTTAGAGAAGAACATAAATGACCTGATGGAGCTGAAAACACAGAACTTCATGAAGCATACACAAGAGACACATGAGAACTTCATGAAGCATACACAAGCTTCAACAGCCAAATCAATCAAGTGGAAGAAAGGATATCAGAGATTGAATATCAACTTAATGAAATAAAGCATGAAAACAAGATTAGACAAAAAAGAATGAAAATTAATGAACAAAGCCTCCAAGAAATGTGGGACTATGTGAAAAGACCAAACCTACATTTGATTGGTATACTTGAAAGTGACAGGGAGAATGGAACCAAGCAGTAAAACACTATTCAGGATATTATCCAGAATGTCCCAAACCTAGCAAGACGGGCCAACGTTCAAATTCAGGAAACACAGAGAGCACCACAAAGATACTCCTCAAGAAGAGCAACCTGAAGACACATAATCATCAGATTCATCAAGGTTGAAATGAAGGGAAATATGTTAAGGGCAGCCAGAGAGAAAGGTGGGGTTACCCACAAAGGGAAGCCCATCAGAGGAACAGTGGCTCTCTCTGTAGAAACCCTACAAGTCAGAAGAGAGTGGGGGCCAATATTCAACATTCTTAAAGAAAAGAATTTTCAACTCAGAATTTCATATCCAGCCATACTAAGCTTCATAAGCGAAGGAGAAATAAAATCCTTTACTGACAAGCAAATGCTGAGAGATTTTGTCACCACCAGGCTTGCCTTACAAGAGCTCCTGAAGGAAGCACTAATATGGAAAGGAAAAACCAGTACCAGCCACTGCAAAAACATACCCAATTGTAAAGACCCTTGACACTATAAAGAAACTGCCTCAACTAACAGGCAAAATAACCAGCTAGCATCATAATGACAGGATCAAACTCACCCATAACAAAATTAACCTTAAAAGTAAACGGGCTAAATGCCCCAATTAAAAGACACAGACTGCCAAATTGTATAAAGAGTCAAGACCCATCGGTGTGCTGTATTCAGGAGACCCATCTCACATGCAAAGACACACATAGGATCAAAATAAAGGGATGGAGGAATATTTACCAAGCAAATGGAAAGCAAAAACAACAACAACAACAACAAAACAAAACAAAAAAAAGCAGTAGGGGTTGCAATCTTAGTCTCTGATAAAACAGACTTTAAACCAACAAAGATCAAAAAAAGGCAAAGAAGGACATTACATAATGGTAAATGGATCAATGCAACAAGAAGAGCTAACTATCCTAAATACATACGCACCCAATACAGGAGCACCCAGATTCATAAATCAAGTTCTTAGAGACCTACAAACAGGCTTAGACTCCTACACAGTAATAGTGAGAGACTTTAACACCCCACTGTCAATATTAGACAGATCAATGAGAAAATTAACAAGGATATTCAGGACTTGAACTCAGCTCTGGACCAAGAAGACCTTATAGACAGCTACAGAACTCTCCACCCAAATCAACAGAATATACATTCTTCTCAGCACTACATCACACTTATTCTAAAATTGACTACATAATTGGAAGTAAAACACTCCTCAGCAAATGCAAAAGAATGGAAATCATAAGAAACAGTCTCTCAGCCCACAGTGCAATCAAATTAGAACTCAGGATTAATAAACTCACTCAAAACCGCAAAACTACATGGACATGGAATAACCTGCTCTTGAATGACTACTGGGTAAATAATGAAATTAAGGCAGAAATAAAGAAGTTCTTTGAAACCAGTGAGAACAAAGACACAACATGCCAGAATCTCTGGGACACATTTAAAGCAGTGTTTAGAGGGAAATTTATAGCACTAAATGCTCACAAGAGAAAGCAGGAAAGATCTAAATCAACACCCTAACACTGCAATTAAAAGAACTAGAGAAGCAAGAGCAAACAAATTCAAAAACTAGCAGAAGACAAGAAATAACTAAGATCAGAGCAGAACTGAAGGAGATAGAGACATGAAAAGTCCTTCAAAAATCCCATGATTCCAGGATCTGGTTTTTTGAAAAGATTAACAAAATAGATCGACCACTAGCCAGGCTGATAAAGAAGAAAAAAGAGGAATCAAATAGATAC
Source organism: Homo sapiens (assembly GCF_000001405.40). Classification (NCBI taxonomy): domain Eukaryota; kingdom Metazoa; phylum Chordata; class Mammalia; order Primates; family Hominidae; genus Homo; species Homo sapiens. Next base: position 7,321,980 of record NC_000020.11, read on the forward strand.
AATAAAAATGACAAAGGGACTATCACCACTGATCCTATAGAAATACAAACTACCATCAGAGAATACTATAAACATCTCTACACAAATAAACTAGAAAATCTAGAAGAAATGGATAAACCCGGGAGGCAGAAGTTGCGGTGAGCTGAGATCACACCACTGCACTCCAGCCTGAGTGACAGAGTGAGACTCTGTCTCAAGACAAATTAAAAAATGATGTAGAAAAGGCTTTTGATAAAATTTATCATCCCTTCATGTTAAAAATTATCAGTAAACTAGGTATCGATGGGTCATAAATAAAAATAATAATAGCAGTGTATGACAAACCCACAGCCAACATCACACTGAATAGACAAAAGCTGGAAGCATTCCTCTTGAAAACCAGCACAAGACAAGGATTCCTTCTCTTACCACTCCTATTCAACATTGTATTAGAAGTTGTGGTCAGGGCAATCAGGCAAGAGAAAGAAATGAAGGGCATACAAATAGGAAGAAAGAAAGTCAAATTATCCCTGATTGAAGAAAGACATGATTCTATATCTAGAAAAGCCCATAGTCTCCACCCAAAAGATTCTTTAGCTGATAAACAACGTCAGCAAAGTTTCAAAGTTTTCAGGATACAAAATCAATATACAAAAATCACTAGCATTTCTGTACACCACCAACAGCTAAGCCAAGTTCCAAATCAGGAGCACAATCCCTTTCACAATTGCCGCAAAAAGAATAAAATACCTAGGAATACCACTAACCAGGGAGGTGAAAGATTCCTACAAGTGAGTAGAAGTCAGAGAGGCAATAGAGCACACATCCTGCAGGTCCACATGGACTAGTGTACAGGCTTTAGGCTGTACTCCAAATGAAAGAGGAAGCCATTGCAGGATTCTGAGCCAAGGAGTGGCTATTCTTCTGCTGTGTCCCTTCACCATCAACCTGTCCAAAACTAAAATAATTAATTTAACTTACTCTCTTAAGTTTATTCGGGCTGCTTTCATAGAACACCATAAACTTGGTGGCTTATAAGCAATGTAAATTCATTTTCCATAGTTCTGGACAGTGATAAGTCCAAGGTTAAGGTGCTGACATATTTGGTGTCTGGTGAGAGCCAACTTTCTTGATCATAGACAGTGCCTTCTCACTGTATCCTCACATCACTGTATCCTCACATGGTGGAGGGTGAGGGATCTCTCTTGGGTCTCTTTTATAAGGACACTAATCCGATTCCTAAGGGAGATTCTCTCATTACCTAATCACCTCCCAAATGCCCCAGTTCCTAATACCATCACTTTAGGGGTTAGGATTCAACATATAAATGATGGGCGGAGTGAGCTGCAAATATTCAATCCATAACAATTACTTAGTCCTCCAGTTGAGCCCTACTACCCTATGTTAATTCGTTAAAACCATTCACTATGTCTTTCAAACCAGAAATAAAATAGTTTATTTCTTGATCATATAATAGTCCAAGGCAGGGGTTTCTTATCAGTGACTCTATTCCATACAATGATTCAATGACGAAGGTTATTTGCACCTGATGGTTCTGCCACTTTTTAGGGCCTCATTTTCCACAGTCATTGTACAGCCAGCGAAAAGAGAAAGAACGTATACAGGAGGTTCTTTCCTCCAAAGCTGGCACACATCACTTTTGTCATATTCTGTTAGCGAGAACTCAGGGATATAGCTCCACTTAAGCATAAACGATGCTGGAACAGGGAGTTTAGCTAGGAGCTCAGAGAGAAAAGACTTGGATGAACAGCTAAGTATTCTTTACCTTATCAAATAATAATTAAATTAATTGATTCTGCCAACTAAATACCTCCTGAAAATATGTTACTTTTCCTCCATCAAAACTCTGCTGATTTATTCAGGTCTTATCCTCTTTACCTGAGTTTATGGAAAAATCTCTTAACTATTGTCGAAGGTTTCAGACTTTTCCTCTTCTAATTTATCATTATAGTGACGTGAATATAGATGTCCTATTTCTAACATGCAAATTTGGACATTTTCGCACTTTTCCATGAACTCTCCATGATTTCTTACATTGGTACTTAAGGCTTTTCCTGATCAGCTTTAAAGACTTGTCTGATGTCAGATTCTGCTTTCCCCACCGAGGCTGTGGGTTTCCACAATGCCACGTCATCTGCTGTTTGACAAATTGTCTGTGTCCTGTCACATGCTCCAGAGGCCTAAGTCATACGATTGCCATTTGCTCATGGCAAATGCCAACTCTGCAAGCAACCAATCCATCCTTTGCAAGATGATCTCTAACTTACCAGAAGACCCCAGGAGATGAGTCGCATGCCTGATGCCCCACATCCACTTAATTATGACCTAGGACACAGTAAGTGGCTCCTGACTTCCAGTCAGCATTAGGTGTGTCAGCAAATGATATATTTTATTTTTTCCCACAAGATTGATTGAATATAACAATGTCTCATTTGCTTCCTTCTTTCTCTCTGTCTTGCTTGCTTGCTTTCATCTTTCTCTCATTTTCTTTCTTTCTTTCTGCTTTCCTTCCCTTTTAATTTAGACGATGTGTTTGTTTGGACCTAAATATCTCATATTTTCAAAGTGTGGGTGGGATAAAATGACATCGAAGTTTTCTTCTAGCCTCAGAAATGATAGATTCTTTAGGTCATGAACATGAGGACTCATCTTTCATAGCACCTGGCTTGTGGTGCCTGGATTGAGTTTGTGAGGGTGCTGTTTCCTGCAGACCCGTGCATATTCTTCAGAAACCACTATCTACACACATCACATTTGTTGGACACAAACTATCTGATCAATATTACCGAGGGGTAAGGAATTTAGATGCTATTTAAACAGCATGACTTTTTAAGGTCAGAAAAAGATGTCTACTCCTATCTCATTCTCAAACATCTGAAAAATATTTGGAAATTAAGCAGGTGGGGAACATGTGAGTTTTCTTGATGATGGAATTTCCTTCTCCTTTTGGTTCCAACCACCAGCAGCATTTTTGCAATTAATTTAATATTAGATGAACATGAAGGAACACACTTCTCATCTCTGCAGAAGACAAGATAATTGGGGACACATTATTCTTTTATTCTAATTTGATAATATCTTTCATGTCTTGTATCAATATTTTTCTTGCAATATACTGAAGGCAGGGCATAAGTATATACATGTGCACGTTTGTTATCTAAACCTGATGCTTCCCCAGAGTAGTTCAAAGTATATCAGTGTTTTGAACTTAATGATTATCCCATGGAGTTACAGCTATTAATTGTCTCTAAAATTATTTTTAAATTATGTAAAATAAAAAGACATATTACAACAACATTGTGTGAGAACCAAGAAATTTAATTGTATCCACGCAATGACTAGCATTTATTAGTCACTCAATAAAAATGTGTTGGGCCAAATACGTTCTTCCCTTTTATTTTTTTTATGTGGAGCCAGATAAAATAAAGCCCATTAAAACAAGAAGAGAAATTAACAAACAAACAATAAATAAAAATTCTCCAGATAAATTTGAGCAATTTTCTTTTCTCGTAGTTGTTGTAATCAGAGTTGTCCGAAATTTTAATTCTTAATTTTTCTCTATCAAAGGGAGTCTCAAGAGAAAAAAATAAACTTTGTTATAAAATTATGCATGATCTATATTGAATTTCCATGAGTGAGCGCTTTGACTTCACAGCATGGGGTAAACTGCCACAAATGTATGGCTTAGTTTCATTATGTTGATGTCATGCAAACATTAATTTATAAGGCACAATATTTATACTCTTTATATATTAACTCCTTCAAATTTGCTTCTGGAGAAAGATTTGCATCATGAGATTCTTTTCAGATTTTAAGTGTCATTAATATGTTAATGAATCTTTACCTGTATATCAAACTGTGTATTTAGGATCTCCACTTGAATGTTTTGCAGGTACATAAAAGGTAAAGATAAAACTCGATTTCTTGGTTTATTACTTCATCATTCATCTATGACAAAATGGCTTCATAAGTTAAGGAGTTTCTTACAAACAAAAAACCAAAGAACAAAGAACAAAACCAGAAAGCAAAAAAATAAACAAATAAAAATTTCAAGTTTCCTTGGCCACCACCCTCTCTCACTCTTGGATTCAATGCACGTTCTGTTAATTTCATCTACAGATTTATCTTGGAGGCACCCACTGTTTTATATCACCACCTCTATGACCCTGGACCAAGCTACCATTTTTAATTTTCTAGACTGCTGTAAAATCCCCTAACAAAATTCTCTTTCCACTGTTGTCATCTCCAATATATTCTTTAGAGAGAACATCCAAAGTAATCGTTTTAAAACCTAAAAATAATGCTGCCCATTGTTTAAAAATCTGCAATGATTCCTCACTACAATTATAGTAACATCCAAATTTCCCACCATGGCAATTCCTGCCTGCTCTGGCCTCGGCTTACTTCTCTCTAAAGCCACCACAGCTTGGCCTACTTTCCTGTCCTCACAAAGCTGAGCTCTTTCCCACTTTGTTTAGACTGCTGTCTCTGTTTGGAGCACCCTTCCTCTGACTGCTCAGTGCTATCACCTTCTCAAACTCCAGCTCATTACTTTAACGGCAACTCTTTGAAAAGAGCTTCTTGAATTAACCCAACATATTAATACTCATAAACAGCTAGTCTTTTTTCACCTTTATGTTTTTTATTCTAATACTACATAGCACTGTCCACATATTACAATTTCCGTGGAAGCTTTATAATTTCATATAATTGGAACCAGTGGTTAATTAGATAAATACGCTCTCCACAAAACAACAACAACAGTTTAAAAGTAGAATTAATAAAAATGTACATGCTTAAATTAACATTTTATTTTAACTTAAAACATGCAGATGTGCTTTCCTTTTCTAATCTTTTGCCATAGGGTCAAGGGATTTTTTTAATGTATATTGTTGAATAACTGAAGTTATTCTAGATCTTTCTTGTAATAGTATAACCCATATTGTTTTGGCCGTGAATTCAAGTTTCAGTTACTTAATTTATGTCAAATGAGAAACCAAAGACACCTGTAAAGCTATAAGAATGTCCATTCTTTTTAGATTTCAATTGATTCCTTTTATTATTTGCAGATGCAATAGCACACTTAATTCGAGTGTTTTTAAAAAATACTTTGCTTTGTTTTCCATGAATCATTTTTATGTTTTTCAAAGGTTTTACTCTTTTCTCTCTGGTAGTAATCACACCAGGACCCCTTTCATCTTGTACTTTGTTCTCCTCCAGTGGCAAGGTTTTGTGGTCCAGACCTAGAAAGGCTGTGAACAACACTGACATTCTATTGGCTAGTCCCCAGTCACATGATCACACTTAATTACTAAGAAAGCCATAACATATGTAACTCTGTGCTCAGGAAAAAGAAAAAAATGGGTTTGATTAGCAACTAGACAGTCTTGGTAAGACTCTGTTTTTAAGTTTGATATTATGATACAACTGGGAACAGATGACTAACTTTTATAAGTAGTATTTGTTCTAGAATGTTCCATGCTCTACTCTGTCTACTTGACTTGTCCAAACCTCCTGGTAGGGATTGCTTTCAAAAGCAAACTAATAGAAAATATTACATATACACTTATGGGGTATTTTTTATTGATATGTTATAGTTGTACATATTTTGGAAGTACATGTGATATTTTGATAGATGTATACAATCTGTATGGATCAATTCAAGGTAAGTGATAGATATTATATCCTATTAATGATATTCCCTTTTAGAAATTAGACTTATGAAGATAGGATCAGAAAGAACCCTCTTGAAAACAAAACAAATATTTTATGTGGATCATAATATTAGTTTACATTATTAGTAAAATAATGTTACAGACACTAAAATACTAAAATAGTCTTTACTATTTACTAACCTACCAGCCTGTTCCCTTGGCTATCATTTACCTATGAGGTGTCTGCAAAACATTGATGAGATTTAATGAAATGGATGGTATTTGTGACTACATGAAGATAGTTTTGTTGGCTGGAAATAGCTTCCACACAGATGATTAAGCCTGTGTAGAACCATTTGAAGGCATTGAAAAGAAACCTCACCAAATATATTTCATTACTCATTAATCAGTCACAATTCCTAAGATCCATTATTAAACAGAGTTTGCTAGATTAATCACTATGCTAACATCTTAACTGGAAAGAGGATTAAATTAAACCATAATTTGCATTGTTATTGCATCATGAATGAATGTATAAATTACTTGACTCTATGTAAATAACTAAAGGCATACAGGAGGGAACAGTTGAGATTTTAATGGCAAAGGTTGGAGAGAATAGAAAACTGTGGATATAGGTAATGAATGAGCTGGCAGATTGGTGGTAGTCCTGAAGGCATTAGGGTAGTAGAAAGCTAATGCTAACTTATAAATATAGATTCATCCCTGGACACAGTTGTGTTCTTCTTGCTAAGGTTCTGCTTGCTGCAAGTGTTTCCCTATAGTTTCTGCTCTAAAGAGCAATTATAGCCATCCCTTATAGTATGCAATAGCTACTTCCATACAATATTCAATGATATCCTCTCCTGGCTTTAGTGACATATCAAACATTAGACCAATCACATGTCAATCAGAAATCAAGATAGATTTTTTATATGTTCCACAGGTGGCAGAGCTGCAATGAAGAGGGTGGAGAACCTGATATCAGAGTACCTGAGTGCAAATCTTAGATGTGTTACTTACTAGCAATATAAACTTGGTAAGGTGACTACATTCTTTGAGCCTCGTTTAATAAGAAACTCTCTTATTATTTAGTTGGAAGTAAAAATTAATTTAACAATTTCCTAAACTAGGAAAAAATTTATCACTTTCTTATAAATTGAAAATGCCCATGCTCTATTATAAACCAACAATTTCACAGAATAGAGAAACCTTTGCTTGTCTGCATCAGGAGACATGCATGTGTAGCTTGAAGGTAGAAGCAAAAAGGTGAAAACAAATATTTATCATAGGGGAATGGATAAAAATATTGTTTGAATATGTGTAATTAAATTTAAGAACATGTTATTAAAAATGTATACATTATGAGTATGATGTATGATTTATACAGATGACACAATCCATATAAATATTGGACAATTCAAAAATAACATATTGATTATAGCTAAATGTGTAATAAGAGACATTTAAAATAAAGGAAAAACATTTATACAAAAGAAATATGTTTGGAGGTTTCTATTAAACATGTACCTGTCTCATAACCCAGCAATTTTATTTCATTTCTACACAAGATAAATAAATATTTATGTTTCTGGAAAGACATGGCTAAGAGTGCTCATATTGGTCTTATATATAATAGCCAGACACTAAAAGTAATACAAATGTTTATCAAAAGAAAAATGGCCAAGCTCACTGTGGTATATTTATATAATGAAATGCTACACAGAAGTAAAGATAATTGACTATCAGTAGACAAAAACATGCTTAAATGTTAAAAGATTATATTGAGCAAAATAAGTGAGGCACAAAGGAGTATATACAATGCTTATTCAAAATCCATGAAAAAACAAAATTATTGTATGATGATAGAAGTCAGCACAGTAGTTACCTTGTGGTTCGAGTGAGTATTGATTGAAAAGGTACACAAGAAAATTTTCTGGAGCAATGAAAACACAATCTTATCTAGAAAATAGTTATATGGTTGTATACATTTGCCAAAGATAGGACTGTATGCTTAAGATTTGAGCATTTTAATGTTCATAGATTATACTGAATGTTTGTAGAATAAAAAGATTGTATAACTTCTGTAACAAATAATTTTACCATGAAAATGCACAAAAAAACTACCCAATAAAAAATTGTAAAATCTGAATTTAACCTGAATGTTTCTCTTTATGGCACTTATTTCTAATAGATCTCCACTGCATGGAGAATGAAAGAAGAAAACATGAACAGTATTTTTATTTCCTTTTAATTCTATGAGTGCAACAAAAATTTAAATTGAAATAGCAAAGACATGAAAAATAAAAGTAATAACGTTGAGGAATTAAGAGAGACCAGTGAATTTGAAGTAGGTCCTCCTATGAATACTTACCCATGGTAAATGTGTATTTAGCACCTTGCACGTGATTCTGGAAAACATGTACACATCTGTCTTCCTGCTATTAGACATGAGTTTAAGAATTTTGACCTAGATATTTAAATCAATACACTTAAATTCAAAAGATTAATAGTAAAAGCTAAGAGTTCACATTACCCCCTTGGCTCTCTCTTCTGCTAAACTAAAGTAGAAGGTTTGACTTAGCTTTCAGAGAGAATTTTTAAAGTCTTAGATGTAATAGACTTAAATGGGTCTCTTAGCATTACTTTGTCAAGTTCAGGAAAGTCAGCCAAGTTAAGCTCTGAGGTATGTCTGGGACTGACGTAGTTTTCCCTCAGATACTTGTAAGGGTTTTACACATAAATTAATGAATTAATCATGACAATGTTACAACACAGACTTCTAATAGCTCTCTAGTTGCATAGTTTCAGAATTATTCCTTTAAAGTTTTTAGAAACAAAAATTATGGCAAAAAAATTGTAAAGGATTAGTAAAGAATCCTGTTACCTGGTCCTATTTAATAGTACTGCTTAAATAAAAAGCAGAAATAAAAACAATACAAAAACTCTAAATCAATGTTTATAGAAAAATATGTAACCTAATAAATGGTAGGTTACTTAATAAATTAGAAGAAGATGTATAGTCATCCAAAAGTTGCCTATTAATGAACAGATGTCTGGAACTGACATCTGGAAGGAGATTTTCAAGGTCACATATTGGGATCAGAACTTGATCCTCTTTTATTGACCTATTAATATAATTTGGGTAGTGAAATATCAATCCCATCAATGTATAGGTCAATGCTGGGATTCAAATAACTTAAAGAGTGCTGCATAACAAGTCGTTGTTTTATTACCTATCCATTGGTGAATAATAAACCTGCTACAACAATTTTATTTGCTCATGATACTGTTGGTCGGCATTTGGACTGGGCTGAACTGGGTGTTTTTTTTTTTCTTCTGACCTTCCCTGGTGCCACTGATACAGCTGCTGTCCGCTGGAGAGTTGTCTGGTGCCTAGTAGGGCTAAGGTGCCTCAGCTGAACAGCATGTCCTTGGTCCTCCTGATCTTACCTCCAGTTAGCTGGCTTGGGCATGCTTACATGGCAACAGTATGTCCAAATCGGACAAGAGCAAGTAGCAAGGCCTCTTGGGGCCTGCACTTGGAAGCCATACAACCTGTGTTCCACAATATTCTGTTGTTCAAACAAGTCAAAAGGCTAGCCCAGATCCAAAGGGTAAAAAAATAAATTCCACCTATCAAAGAGAGAAGCTAAAAATAATGTGTGGCCATTTTAAATGTAGCACAGTCTTCTCCTTGGCTACAATTATTTATATTCTTCTTATATGCAAAACACACCATTTCCTAAGATCCCTGAAAACAGTGGTATATAACAAAGAGTTTTCGAGAAAAAAAAAAAAAGAGCCCGGATTTGGAGCATTTGCTCATTTTTGTGGTATACATACTACCACCATGCCTAATTTCAAGCTACTGACATGGCATCACTGAGTGCCAGTTGGGAAAAGGTGACTACGATCAGCTCTTAAAAGGAGTTATGAGCTGGAACCCACATAACACTGCCCACAAATCCCATTCAATCATAGCATTAGACCCGAGTAGAACATATAAAACATGGCATCTAGTTCAGATGTTGTATTAGTTCATTCTCACATTACTAGAAAGAACTACCTGAGACTGGGTAATTTATAAAGAAAAGGGGTTTAATTGACTCACAGTTCCACAGGCTATAAAGGAAGCATGGCTAGGAGGCCTCAGGAAACTTAAAATTATGGCAGAAGATGAAGGGGAAGCAAGCACATCTTACCATGGTGGAGCAGGAGAGAGAGAGAGCGCCTGTGACAAGGAAATTGCCACACACTTTTAAACCATCAGAGCTCATGAGAACTCACTATCATGAGAACAGCAAGGAGGAAATTCACCCCCATGATCCAATCACCTCCCACCATATCCCTCCCCCAACATTGGGTATTACAATTCAACATGAGATTTGGGTGGGGACACAGCCAAACCATATCAGACGTAGATGGGGCTTCTTGACTATGGCTTCCCTTGATTTGTAGACCTATAAAAATATGCATTATCTGCTGCCTTATTCCCAATACACGATACTGAGATGATGGCATAGTAACTACTATAGGCAGTGCCATTCAAAAAGAGAAGGAACAAAAATTCCATGGTAGACAGTGGAGCACAACAATATAGAAAGAGCACACAGTATCAGGTTTTTATATTCTAGAGGCTGAAAATATTCTGTGATTAAGGCTCTGTTTTGCTCCTTGGGAGTAACTCTCTAGTTCATTGTTGTCTTTAGATACTGGTTTGCACTTTGGGCTTTGACTCTGCCTGCTAGAATGTTTGCTCTGCACTCTGTAATGTCTTTCCTATTCCAAAAGATATGTTCTGTACTTTCTACTGAGACACTTTCTCATCCTGTTTCCTGCTTGGTGAAAATTGGGGACCCAGGGGCCCGTTTTAATTTTGTACTGTCTGTCCACTTGTATGTCAAGGTGCTACAACTTCCTATAAATTACTTTGGCTTCCCTATGTATCGGAATATAGTCTACTCCATTCAACAAAAATCATACCCATGATTCTTTATGTGGCTTCTTTCTTAGACTTTTTCAGAGCCACTTTGGAATTAGGGATCCATGTAACGATGCTCTTAATTTCTTAAATGCCTTTTTGTCTATCTGAAAGGGTTTACTAGATACTGACTTAAGTCTTTCAGAGAGTTTAGCAAAGGCTCTTACAGCCACAATTTTGTTTTCATGTTTGCCCTGAGGTGATATCTTTATTTAAAACATCTTTGTCTATTGGAAATACCAGAGATTAGATACTGTTTTGTTTTGTAAACTGTCAAGTCCTGGGCCCCCATTATTTCTTCTAAATTATTCTGGCAAAATAAACATCTCCTATTTGAGTTCATCTATCTTTTCTCAACCATTGTTAAACGCAGTTTACAAAGATGTTTGTATGTATGTCTTCTCAGCCATATTTACTAGTTATTAGTACAGTACAATAAGTACCACATAGGCATATGAAGAAGAATGGCAAAAGTAACCACTGTAGTGGCCGATTAGTGTAGAAGAAGAGTCAACTAAGCTGAGTTTTAAGAATGAGTAAGATTTGGTCAGGGTAAGCCTAAGGAGCACATGGAATTCTTATCTAGTTCAAAATGTTTTCTGTATGGATTGCTAGAAGATACAGTTAGCTGGGACTCCATTATGTTAGAATTTGTACCATATCCTAAAAGCAATAAGGGGAGGGTGGTTAGAATGTTTAGAACAAGGGAAAGACATATCAGACCTACAGTTATAAAGTTCACCCTGGAATTAGTGTGGAGAATGAAACACTAGAAGAGTCAAGAGACTGCCCCAGCCATTCAGACATGAAAGGAGGGTGTGGCCTGAACAGGGTCAATGGCACTGGTACCAGGGCAACAAAGCTACCCTTTAAAACTACTTAGGGCGCACAATGTCAGAATTTAGTGTTGACATAGAATGTTGGAGCAAACAAGAATAACTTCAAGGTTTCAGGTTTGGGCAAATAACAAGGAGATGATGCACTTACCACGAAGGGACATCAGAGCAGGTTTGACATGAAATATTGTAAGTTCAGCTTGAGATGGGTTACATGAGAGGAACTGATAACACTTCTGAGTGGGAATGTCCTCTCTCCCTTGTTCCCTTTCTCATGATGAGGCCAGCCAGCTCCCCTTCACTTCCACCTTGAGTGAAAATAGTCTGAGGCCCTCACCAGATGCAGATGCTGGTACCATGCTATACAGCCTGCAGAACTGTGAGCCAAATAAACCTCTTTTCTTTATACATTACCCAGTCTCAGGTATTCCTTTATAGCAACATAAATAAACTAAGACATCTGCCTTTGAAATTCAGAAGAAAAATGTTTCATGGATTTAGATAGAATAGGGAAGTGCCTATGAGTCGTAACTACAATAGGATTTGAGGGGAAAACCCCACATGATTTAATTTTCAGATGTATGCCTCTGACAATCCTGAGGATTGAGACAAACACCACTAGTCATAAGATGTAGTCATCAGTGGAGCTTTACTGGGGAAATTTGTAGGGCAAAGAATCAGCAGAACACAAGTCAAGCTCAGTGTCTCGCATGTTATAGGAAGGCACACTAAGATGGGCAGGTTTGAGTACATTGTGGATTATGATCGGGAGAGAGACCTCATGCCTCTGCTACCATTTAAAATATTTACAGTGAGGTTCGTTGCTTTTCAGTCAGGTAAATTGACCTTGGAATTTGAACTTCAGACCCTTAATGGAGTTTGCATACAGAAGCCAAGTGTGTGTAGAAATCCCAGTTTCATTGCTGCTGAGCCAGCTCATTGCCAAGATACAGAAGGGAACTGGGGAAGGAAGTCTATCTGAGTTGTCCAGCAGACAAAGACTTAATTCTCCTTAACAAATGGTTCACTTCCTCTGTCTTTCCAACTGGACACCAATTCCCTTGGCCCACTAAAGTAAATCTAGGAAGCATTCATTTTGATCCAAAACGGCCTTGGTAGACTAGGATTTTCAAAGTCTAACAAGAATTTGGCTGGGTTTGGAAGGCATATTTTTTCTCTTTGTTATTCTTATGAATTACTATGAGCCTGTCTTTTTTCCTCACTTGGGAAAAAATATGGGCATGTGTGAGTATGCATGTGTATAAAATAAAAACAAACATATGTGTCTTGGCCTCCCTGTTGTTTCTTAGATCTAAACAAATATTAGTGAGTCATTTAATGTCTATATTCTCTTCAGATACAATTTTAGTGACTTGGGGTAAATATATTATTTAGAAGTGTACACCTCAGAAATGCCAGCTCCTATCTGGGATGTGTGGATGAATATCAATACTCTATTTGCATAGCTAATGATTAAGATTGCAGACTGAGGAAGGAAAAGGAATTGCTATTAGAAACCCCAAATCACACTTGTGGGGAGTGGCAAAATCAAATTAGAATCTAGGTGATCTGACTGTAGTACCTGTGTTGTCCAGCACTTTTAACTACTACTTCTAAATACTTGGACAGAAGGCATTTGAGCCAGTGTGTGTGTGTGTGTGTATGTGTGTGTGTGTGTGTACTTGCTAATTATATGTATAACACATGCTCTGTTATGAACTATGAAATTCCAACCCCTTGGTCATATTACAGAATGGGCTCTAGTGTATTCTAGATTCTCAACTAAGGCTGTGGAAAGTGTTGATGTTAGAAGTGTACCTACACCACTTCTGTGGATAGGTACTCAATATACTCAGGTTTAAGGGTCTTTGGTGGTGGAAAGGTGAGAATATTTATTGTTGAATTATTTGATTAAATAAATTTTAATAATTTTTTTAAATTCATGAATATTTTTTCCTGATAAATATTTTTTAAAATTACTTTCAATCTATTTTTTCTTTTTTGAAATGAAATAAAATATTTTCTTATTTGTAAGAGAGAATGGTAATGGAATTGTTAAACTGATATTTTCTTATTTACCTAATGAATGTAGTACTTTGCAGTAGGCAGTGAAGAAAAAGCTCCTTTTGAATTTTTAAGGCTTGGAGCAAATTTATTAAACACATTCTTGGTGTCAGTGTTAATTTTTTGTTTTAAAGATTCTCTTCAATTAGGTTTCAAATGTCAATTCATTTTGAAAAATACAACAAAATCTGTATGAATTTATGTTATAACAAAGAACATGCTCAACAATAAATCTACAGGTGCTAATGTTTAAAATACATGATCTTAGTCTGCAAATCATTATGAAACAGAAATTGTACATTTAATTCACCTGGGCTGAGTACGTAAACCTTCATGGAAGTATACCTATACCCTTGGTAAGCTTTCACTGTATAAAATACAGGAGGTGATGGACACAGAGTAGCAAGAGTTTAAGAGGTAATTTTCTTATCCAAACTAAAGGTGTTAACAGCAGCCTGTAAGGCTAACAAAAATATTGTTTATCATAGGCTTTGATGTTGAATACTGCTGGCTTAAGCTGAACTGTTTGTAGGCTTTTTCTATCAGAATGCCTACTCTAAAGGTATTGATACTATTTCTGTCAATCACATTGTTTCTCCAAACAGTGAAGAGGAAAGAGTTAAACATAGGTTTGGCACATTCATGGGAATTAGACATTTACCCCAGTAGGAGTTGATTTTGCAGTTCTGACCCCGGTGCATGTGTAATTATGTAGTTTCTATGTGAAGATAAGTTTTTGCTAACTTTTCTTTATGCATTTAGCCACTCTCTACTCTACTCACACATTAACGTATTACATAAACATTACTCTTCTCTTTCTTGTAATGTCTATGTCCCTTTACCTAATGCACGAACCATTCAAGTAATGCCTTTTGGTGTATGTATTGCTATAAAAATTATCCATTTTTGCATCAGACAGATCTCAATTGGAATCCTAACCTTCTATCTTACTAACTGTGAAAAATGAAGTATTTAATTTACTAAACTTATTAGACACACTACGTTTTCTCACACTGGAGAAATAATTATCACATTTTTGTGTGTGTATAGTCATTACCAGTTTTGATGCTTATAATAACAATCAAAGACAAGTCTTCAGCAATCCTATGAAGCAGATAGGTTTATTGTCTCATTTCACAGGTAATGAAAGGAGTCTTGGTAATTAATTAGCTGATCTAGATTCCAAGCAGGTCTATGGATCTCATAGGCTGTGTAAAAGAACGGATACTATGATATAAATAATTGATCCTTGATACAGGATTGTGCTTACAAAATTTAAAGATTTCAAAACTAAAATATTTCTAAAATACCAAAATGAACAGTAATCAATGTAACAATTACTCATCTATTCACCAACAAGAATGGTCATACACTGATATTTGACATATTTTATTCAGATCTTATTCTTTTTCATTTTAAGAAAATAAACCAATGTAGATAGAGATGAAGTCTTACTTTGGCCCTCCTCTCCCCTTCTTTCATTTCCCAGAGGTACAGCCAGGGAGGTTGGGTTTTGATTCTAGTCATACACTCTGGTGAGGGGCTGCATCTGCTCCAAGAAGCTGGTTTACCTTTTAACATTTTGTTCAAAGGATTTTTATTGGCTAACAGAAACCCTGATAAGTTTTTCTCCCCAGCCCCACCACCTCCCCTTCCTCTAATCCTGAGAAAACTACAGTTCCCTACCTACTTTTTCACTCTATATATGTATCTATAGCAAGAGCATTATTGTTTTATATCCTTAACATTTTCCATGAATTGTATATTTGTATTTAAGTATAAATAAACATACTTAAAGTATACTTCCAGTATTTATTATTGATAAGACAAGTTATACTATGATATTATTTTCCAACTTGCATTTTCATAAAACATTATGATTTCAAGATTCATCCAAACTGATACCTATAGATCAAATTTCATCATTTAATGCTATTATGATATTATATAAAATATGTACAATTTTGTTATTCATTTCCCTATCAATACACACTTAGGTTGTTGGTAATTTTCAATTTTACTATGAATATTGGCACTAGGATAAAAATTTAGTAGTTCCCACCAGTTTTCCCAACTTTGCTGACCTCAAGTCCTACAGTATTAATTGATTTCCACTCTTGTTAATTGCTGAGAGTCTCACCATCTTTTACCCATAATCAAAGTTTTATTCAGAATCCCATCTGAGTGTCTTTTGCTCCCTACTGGACTTGACAAATACCTGATTAATTCAGATTCTGACACTGAAACTCACATGGGGTGAGACAAGCTCTGGATGGGGAGAAGTGGAGTTGGCACAGCTGGTAGTTAAGTGTGTGCAGTCAAGTGGATTCGAGATGATGTCAGAGAGAGGAAATCTTTAAAATTTTTTTTTTGACTGCTTATCCGTATTCCTGTGTTATAATGGGAAGAAAAATGGTCTTTGTCTCCAGTTTCTATAATAGAGTTCCCAAAAGTCTCTCCTGAGTGCTAAGAATGTCTTTGTTATTCATTGCATGTCTTTTCTCATCACACCTAAGTTTATGCTAAGGAGGTAACTCAAGGCAGGGAAGAGGACCCTAGGTGGCTTCAGAATGGAGGCTGGTCACCAGAAAGGCCACCCTCCAATCTCTGAAGAGGGGAGTGGGGCTGGAGATTGAGTTGAATCACCAATGGCCAATGATTTAATCAATTATTCCTAAGTAATGGAACCGTGATAAAAACTTTAAACAATGAGATTTAGGAGCTTCCAGGTTGGAAAACACATAGATGTGCTGACCAGGTGGTGCATGGGGAGAGCATGGAAACTCACCCACCCCTACACCTCACCTATGCATCCTTTCCATTTGGCTTTTCTTAGGCTATATCCTTCATAATAAAACTGTAATTGTAAGAGTGATACTTTCCTGAGTTCTGTGCATTGTTCTAGAGTATTATAAAACCCAAGGGGGTTGTGAAAACCCCATAATTTATAGTAGGCAGAAGCACAAGTAGTCTAAAGTTCCCATTTGTGACTGGCACCTGAAGTGTGTGCAGTCTAGTGGGACTGAGCCCTTAAATTGTGGGATCTATTTTATCTCTGGATGGTTAGCGTCAGAATTGAATTGAATTGTTGGATACTCAGTTGGTGTTAAAGAGTTGAAGAATTGGTTTCTCCTTGTAAAACCAAACACACCCTTAGTAGAGCAAGCATAAGTTTAATGGATAAGTACAATGTCTGATCCATTCACCATTGAATACTTAGCACTAGATAATGATATATGTACAATAAACCTCTTATTTTATAAACCATGTTGGTCTGAGGACAATTTAGAGAAATCAGCTAGCATATTTAAGGGACTAGAAAGACATATAACCTACAGTGCTATTGTAGTATTGTAGTCCATGAAACATGAAACGTGAAATATTATTGGGGAAAAAAAGTTTTGCTCAATAGATTCTTCAATACTCTACTAATCCAGATAATAATAGAAAAATAGGAAGTTACAAGGTTATTACCTATCTTTAAGAAAACATTGTGAAAATTTGTATTTACTCTCAATTTTAGAGGTTTAAATGAGAATCGTAAATGA